>NC_000001.11:246184121-246335636 GCF_000001405.40 Homo sapiens
TGAGCACCAAAGCAGTAAAGGCAGTAGGTAGAAAAACCAGGAGTTAAAAGAATATAAAACACTAGTCCTTTCTGGGATATTGTTACACATGCTGAAAGAATCTAAATATATATATCATGACCCAAAGAGGTCTCAGGCTTAAAATCCAAAAAGAAAGAAAAGCAAGTATATTGCCCTTTTTTCCTATTGGGAAAACCTTGTAACCACTGAAAAATTAGAACAGATAAATAGGAATGGGTCAGTATAATTAGTATCTTCTAATTATAGAAGCACCCAGATTGGCATCAAACTCACCAACTCTTGGCTGTCTTCAACAATGACCAGGCCTCCTCTGGGGAGACTACTTCTTGCCATCCTCAATCTGTACCTCAGATGTGTGACTTCTTGCTTCTAACAATATCACAGATTATGGACTAAATGTTTGTGTCCTCCCAAAATTCTTACGTTGCAGCCCTAACCCTCTGATTCTATTTGGAGAAGGGGCTTCTCAGACAGTAATTAAGGTTAAATGAGGTCATACAGGTGGGGACCTGACACAATAGGATTAGTGTCCTCACAGGTAGAGACCAGAGAGCTCATTGACCTGCTCCCTTCCTCCCTGTGTGCTTGCATGAGGAAGGGCCATGTGAGGACTTAGCAAGGAGGCACCATCTGCAAGCCAGGAAGAGAGACCTCACCAGAAACCTAGTGGGCCAGAACCTTGTCTTAGGCTTCTAGTGTTGAGAACTGTGAGGAATTATAAATTTCTGTTTTTTAAGCCACCCAGTCTGTGGAGTTTTGTTACAGTACCCTGAGGTGGCTCAGACATACCTACCACATTGATGCTTAATAGTGACTACCCAAACAGCAGGAATAAAAGTTTCAATTTGTTTCTTACATTTCCTAATGCAATGCTCTGTAAGGCTAGATGTTTTAGAAATGCTTTTTGAACTTAATAATGGTTTTAAAAAGTCACAGACTTCAATAACAGCCATCATTTTCTATAAGCACTAATGGTGTTATATGCCAAGAATTTTTAAAGGCAAATAAATTTTTCTTCTTATCTAAAAAGCTGCCTGGAGAATGCTCACCCTTCCTTTACTCACTACTGAAAACTGTCAATAGCAATTCAAGTAATATAATTCCTTTTTTTTGGAGGCAGAGTCTTGCTCTATCCCCCAGGCTGGAGTGCAGTGGCGCGATCTCGGCTACTGCAACCTCCGCCTCCCGGGTTCAAGCGATTCTCCTGCCTCATTCTCCTGAGTAGCTGGGACTGCAGGTGCCCGCCAACACGCCCGGCTAATTTTTGTACTTTTAGTAGAGACAGGGTTTTGCCATGTTAGTGATTCTTTTTTTTTTTTTTTTTTTTTTTGAGACGGAGTTTTGCTCTGTCGCCCAGGCTGGAGTGTGGAGTGCAGTGGCGCGATCTCGGCTCACTGCAAGCTCCGCCTCCCGGGTTCAAGCCATTCTCCTGCCTCAGCCTCACGAGTAGCTGAAACTACAGGCGCCCGCCACCACGCCCGGCTAATTTTTTGTATGTTTAGTAGACATGGGGTTTCACCATGTTAGCCAGGATGGTCTCGATCTCCTGATTTCGTGATCACCCGCCTCGGCCTCCCAAAGTGCTGGGATTACAGGCATGAGCCACCGTGCCTGGCTGGTAATTCCTTTTCAAGAATTACAAACACCAAAGTATCTTGTACAATGGTAATTTATGTGCACACGTATGCTAAAAATGCCAAAAAGAACTTACACAATTTTTACATACATAACATACTTTAGTTCCTTGATTCTATGCCAATTCACCTAAATATTAACAAACTTAGGACAGTGGACCTTGGGCTTACAGAATATTAAATTGTAGAATAACAGAATCATAAAATCATAGAATCACAGACTAGAGGTTTGTCTCGGTCAAATCTCACCATTTTTTTTAAATGAGGAAAACCAGAGCTCAGTACCTTGCTCAAAGTAACATAAATAGTTCCCTTAATTCCCAGAATTGTGGTTTTTTACTGTATTGTTAAGAAATAATTTTCTGTAAAGCAAAATAATGATTCTCAAAATTAATAAAACACATATAAAAGATTTAACTCACTAGAAAATGAGTAAGATGCTAAGTCTGATTTTTAAAAGAATTCAAAGAAGACACAAATACATAAGCATCAGAAATGCCAGCAAGATGTAAAATGTGCAAAACTAGTCAATATGCATAGGAAAATAATCTATTGCATTCTCCAAACACAACTGCATTTTATGGACAAGAACCAGGCGCTTTACTGTCTATTTTCTGCAGCACACACAATTCTAGTACAGCTCAAAGACAGTGAAAGGCAGAGCTGACCTGATGGTTGAGTAGACAAAACATGCTCTTTTTTTTTTAATCATTTCAAAGTCTTTCCTCACAGTCCCTTACCATGCACAAGTACTCTGAAACCAGAGAACAGCACGGTGGGTGAATTCAAAAAACAGAATTTAGAATTCTTGTTTAATTGCTAACTTTCTGAAAGCCCTCAGAAAAAGACCCAAGTTCATTTCATATCAGCCCCAAAACTAAGAGACAATGAAAACTTGACCTGTGAGAGTCTGGCACTGTCAATGTCCACAGCACTTCTCTCAAAATGATCCCTCTGAATACTTACAATAATCCCACCAGGGCAAAAGGTTCACAACAGCAGTTCCTCAGCCAAGTCGTGGGAAAGGCTGTATCACATTCCGGTCTTCTGCTTCCCAGTCTCACACTCTCCCCACATCACAGGCACAGTTACCTCGCAGGAGAATGTCTCTGAAGCCCCTTAGAGTCATTATGCAAGAGGTCTCACGGAACAACTTTTCGCTGTGACTGAAGAGATGAAATGTAAAATGAGGAAACACGAAAGAAGAAATGGTCTGCTACACAAACATACAAAGTAGGTGTGATGTGCTAGATAACGAGGTGATGTGCTGATGGAGCTCAACTCTGACCCCAGTTCCACAGCTCCAGTCAAAAGATCTGCGTTTAAGAAAGGAGAAACAAGGTGGCTCATGCCTGTAATCCCAGCACTTTGGTGCGGTGGCGCACGCCTATATTCCCAGCTACTCGGGAGGCTGAGGCAGGAGAATGGTGTGAACCCGGAGGCAGAGCCTGCATTGAGCAGAGATCGTGCCACTGCACTCCAGCCTAGGCAACAGAGTGAGACTCTGTCTCAAAAAAAAAAAAAAGAAAAGAAAAGAAAGGAGAAACAAATAGGAATGAAGAGTGGAAAAGATATCAAATAAGGACCCAAAAGCACTCTGAGAAAACAATAAGGTTCTTATGTCCTGTGTTCAGGCAAAGAAACACAAGACATAGACATGAAGAGAACAGAAAGCAAGGAATAATGTTTAAAACTAATTTGGCACAATTTTTTTTCTTTTAAAATGCTCAAGAGGATCATTGCAGAAAACACAGTGGTAAAGCAAGCTGCTGAGGGATTTTTCAATAGCTCCACTGTGAAAAAACAAGCACATCTTAAAACTACAAGCTTTGAAACTTTTAAATTTCTTAATTAAAATATTTCTAGATTCCGTTCATTTCTAAGCAAGACTGCAGCCCTAAAGAGACCAGTAAATTTTTATTCATCTTTTTTGAAACAAACATGATTAACAAGTCATTGTTTGAATAGAAAACTATGAATTAAACAAACAAGCAAACAACCCCACAATAATGGAACCCATTCCTTGGAGATAATGACAATGCAAAGTACAAGAAACCCATTTTGAAGCATTAGTTTCATGTGAGCACTTGTTGACGGAAATATTACAAGAAGTCCCCCTAAGAACAGTTCTCTTCATTGTCGTATCAATGGTCTTGGTGGCTCACATTCCTCACGTGCACTGAGGGCCGTCTTGATAAAAAGTATCTAGTAGACCTCTTGGTGTCAAGTTGTAAAGCTCGAACTTGTTTTGGGATTTTTAAGAATGTATAATAAATATCGATTTATTAATTTACAATAAAAAAACTAATGGGTGAAAGGACTGGACACTCAGCCTCTGACCTTCATGTTTTCTCCCTGCATAGGAAGTCAAACTACTATCAGAATGTTGTCGTGTCTGGCACTACAGCAAGAGCAATGAGTTGCACAAACCATGAAGCAAACAGACTGTTCATTCATCCAGCACGTCCTGGCCTAGAGCTAGAAATACAGCAGCGAACAGGAGCGATCAGAGTCCAGATTGGACTCTGAAAAGAGGATCTCCTTGCCCCAGGAGCTGTGCAGTATGGCCCCAGTTCTAGCTTTCTCTGGCCTAGACAATGCCTAATGGAGCCCTGCAAAGATTCACTTCACTGACTTTTTTAAAAATATTTTTATATAACATAAAATTTTCACTTTAACCATTTTAAGTGTACACTTCAATGGCATTAAATTCAAAATGTTGTGTAACCATGACCACTATTTCCAAAAGATTTTTGTCATCCCAAACAGAAACTCTGAACAAGTTTGCTTTTTAAAAGTGGCACAAGTTACTAACATTTGTGGTTGACATTTTTTTTTTTAATATCTATGTTAAGAACTCGATTATAGGCCTACCCATAATATGCTTCTTTAAGAGGTCTGGGGCCAGGCGTGGTGGCTCATGCCTGTAATCCCAACACTTTGGGGGGCCAAAGTGGGTGGATTGCTTGAACTCAGGAGTTTGAGATCAGCCTGGGCAACATGGTGAGACCCTATCGCTACTAAAAACACAAAAAAGAGCCAGGCATGGTGGTGCACATTTGTGGTCCCAGCTACTCGGGAGGCTAGTGAGGAGGATCACTGGAGCCTGCAGGGCAAAAGCTGCAATGAGCCAAGATCGCACCACTGCACTCCAGCCTGCGTGACAGAGCAAGACCCTGTCTCAAAAAAAAAAAAAAAGGTCTGTATGTTTCATTAGCCATTGTGTGTGTTTATGTTAAAAATATGAAGTGTTTCACAAATTTGCATGTCACCCTTGTACAGGAGCCATACTAATCTTCTCTGTCTCATTCTAATTTTTTAGTATATGTGCTGCTGAAGCACGAACTAGCCATTGGGTTTTGATTTTATAACTGTTTTCCAGAAGGCAAACTTCTAACTTCTTAAAGAGAAAGGTACCTTGTTGCCATGTCCTCCCTCCCACCCCACTACACAGAGGCGCTTTCTTCTACAATGCACACTATTTCATCCAACTCTTACAAATATCTAAAGAGATGCTATCATCAGCTTTTTAGACATAAGGAAGCTGAGACTCACAGGAATGATATTTCTCAAAGCTACTCAGGAAGCAAGGGAACAACGCAAGTGTCGGTAACAGTTATTCCATATTGGAGCATGACTGACTGGATGAATATATGTTTGTTTTTGCTATACAGCTAACATTAACTGGTTCTAAGACTGAATACTGTATTAAATTTGTTATTAAAATACATACTCCTATAACAAGAAGGGACATATAAGACAAAATAGGAAAGATGAAAAGGTTTTAAAGACACAGGAGAGGCTAAAGAAGTGATTTTTAATGGATATACTCTGGGAGAAATTCTCAACTATTTCCCTACAAATGGGTGACATTAGTCACTTAGGGTGGCTGCCTTTTTTCTGAAAGCTATCAGACATCTCCATGGGCAAAATAAAGAAAGAGACCCCCTACGGTTTATTTATGTACGTATCATGGTAGCACTCCGTGGTTTTAAGACATATTGAAACTCCATCATATGCTGCTTTTAAAGCCCAAATAACTAAAATAAAAACTCCCAGGCACAGCAACGGCAAAATACTGTCATTTGTATGTGCTTAGGAGACACGTGTCTCTAAAAGCAACATGTACATTTCTCTTTTCAAGCAAATGTTTAAAGAACTGGCACCGTAACAAACAAGGGGAAATATGGAGATCAGTTTTAAAGGCAGGATTTGTTTTTGTGGAGTCTAATTTATTTCAAGAAATCCAGATTATTAAATTCACCTCCTATCTGAGGAAGGATCTCAAAGGAAAGGTAATACAGGCTAGTCGTCCTTAAATGCCCAAGTCCAAAAGACTAGTATTTAAGACCCAAGTTTATCACTTACTAAGTGTCAGACCTTGGCCATGTTACATAATCGCTCTCAATCTGTTTCCTCAAAATAATACTGCTTAACAAAGGATTAAGTAAAATGGTGCGTATAAAGCACCACACACAGACCGTAGCGTATACTTAAGAGTTTTATTTCAGCATTAGAAAGCATGGGAGGCCGGGCGCGGTGGCTCACGCCTGTAATCCCAACACTCTGGGAGGCCAAGGAGGGTGGATCACAAGGTCAGGAGTTCGAGACCAGTCTGGCCAATATGGTGAAACCCCGTCTCTACTAAGAATACAAAAATTAGCCAGGCGTGGTGGCAGGCACCTGTAGTCCCAGCTACTCGGGAGGCTGAGGCAGGAGAATCGCTTGAACCCGGGAGGCAGAGGTTGCAGTGGGCCAAGATCGTGCCATTGCACTCCAACCTAGGTGACAGAGTAAGACTCTGTCTCAAAAAAAAAAAAAAAAAAAAAAAAGGAAGCATGGGAAGTAGGGGAGTCGCTAAAGCTCACTGATTTAAATTACTACTCAATTAGACTAAATTTTTTAAAAATCATGATTTTCTTTGTCCCCCTCCCCAACTCACACACAAAAAGCCAACACTATACTAAATAATAGAAGATAGTCGAGGTCAAGATTTTCACCTTGTTCTCCAGCTATCATTTTTTCCCTCCCGACTTCTATTTTGGATTAAGGTATTTCAGGGGCCCCAACATCAAAGTAGAACAGAAGAAGGAAAGCAAGAGAAAATGAGAGGTAGGAACTAGAAAAGCCAGTATCAGAAAAGCATACAGCACTTCCTCACTATACTAGCAAAGCTTACCATGCAATATTCAACAGGTAAATCCTGATGGATGGCTGACACCGGGTTCAAGACACTAGTCCACATGCTCCACATACTGAATACCCTAAGGTAGTTCAGAGAGAAACTGAGGGGAAGACGGAGAAAACGCACCTCACGGTGCATTCTGTATGTCACTGCCTTACACGCAGGAGTTTCAATGTTTTGGTACCAATTAAAGACCAACTATCAGTTCTCCATGGAAGCAGCAAAATATAAAAGTATCCTTGAAATCAGTACAGGGCCCTTCTGCGAGGGTCTGGTGATGTGGTTTTGAGATTCTTTGTTTTGGATCATTCCTCGTTTGGTGGACCCACAAATAATGGTCCTGCCTAGAACCATCACCGCAAGCTAGAGTGAAAAAATGCCAGAAGACTAGGCTGGTGGGTAAAAAAATTCAACGTTTTTCCTCATGATTAACCTTGGGTGGCCTTGACAAGTTATGTAAGGTTTTGTTTCTTCAGAAAGACACTGCATTTTTAGAACATCTCTAGGCACAAAAATTAGTCATGTAACTGAAAGACAAGAAAATTTTAAGCATATATTATAAATAAATGTGAATATTAGGGGTGTGTATCCAAACACATGAATAGCTCTTAAAAGAATAAGACAAAAAGATCAAACATATTTGAAATCAGAGAGATGTCTTTTGGGAACTGAACTCTTGCCATGAGCAGGAGAAAACCAGAAAGGTCTTCATGGGTTCTGGTACCTGTTCAACCATTAATTCATGATGT
This sequence comes from Homo sapiens, assembly GCF_000001405.40. Lineage (NCBI taxonomy): Eukaryota > Metazoa > Chordata > Mammalia > Primates > Hominidae > Homo > Homo sapiens. Next base: position 246,191,711 of record NC_000001.11, read on the forward strand.
GTCGCTGGAAAAAGATCACAAATGTCTTCAAGCTTCATTTTCCCTATCTGTATCTGCCCAAGATCTCACTGGATTCTCGAAGAATCAAATATGATAACACAGTCATTCCTGAAGTATGGCCACGGACCAACAGCATCAGTAAGTCAGGAACTTGTTCAAATGCAGTTGAGTCCCACCCAGTCCTAATAAATGAGAAACTTCAGCAATCGGTTATTCTGATGCACCTTGAAGTTTGAGAACCACTGCACAAAAACAGATACAATCTGAAACATCTGAAAACACTGGAGTGTTGTTATTACGGAAAAAATTAAGAATCATACATTGAAGATCTTAAGAACTTTCACTTAAAAGTTGGATACAGAAGAGGCTATGTGTGGCTTTTGTTGTTGTTTTTGTTGCTGTTGTTGAAACAAGGTGTCACTCTGTCACCCAGGCTGGAGTGCAGTGGTATTATTATAGCTCACTGTAGCCTTGAATACCTGAGCTCAAGCGATCCTCCTTCCTCAGCCTCCCAAGCAGCTGGAACCACAGGCATGTGCCATCATGCTCAGCTATTTTTTATTTTATTTACTTATTTACTTTTTTAATTTATAAGAAAAGAGGTTTAATTGAAGAAATTGGCAAAAAGAAAGGGGCTACAGAACTCCTGCAACTTTGGAACCCAGCAGGGCAGTTGTTAAATGTTAAAGCTCCAAAATAACCTGGCTCATTTTTAATTTTTCTTTTGTAGTGATGAAGTCTTGCTGTGTTGCCCAGGCTGGTGTCGAACTCCTGGGCCGAAGCGATCCTCCTACCTCAGCCTCCCAAAGTGCTGGAATTACAGGCGTGAGCCACTGTGCCTAACCTATGTGTGGCTTTTTTAAAGCCAAGATTCGCAGTTAATGTAAATGCTACAATAAAATAAAATCCAAAATTACGGTACCTATCAATGTTAAAATGCAGTATTATTTCCTTATAACTTTAAAAGGGTTAAGGGAAAAGAAATAAAATTAGTAATGATTGTAATGATTACATATTCTTTAAAGAGTAAATATGAGACTAAATGTATCTCAATCCAACTATTAATAAAAAAAGAGTGAACTTGAGATTAGCTCTCTCTAGGGAAAAAGGAGAACAGTAAGTCCTCCTGGGATCTTTACATTTTCTTGGCAAGAGTAATGCATTCATTGCTTTTAAAAAGGTAAAAGGTAAAGTCAAAAAAAAAAAAGAAATGTAGTTACAAAAGATGCATTTCAATTGATAATGAAGGCTTTTAATGTAATGATTATAGGAAATCTTGGAGGAGTTCTAATAAGTACAGCCAAATTAAGAACAAAATATGCTAAGAAAACAGAGAAGTCATATTGTTTTTCATTCTACATTCTAGTTAAACCCAATAAAACATGTGAAGACAAAAGTATTCCTCATTAGAAGTATCCTTAGGTCCCATTTATCGTCATATCTTGTTTACTACCAGTTAAGAAAATATGGTACTACAGCCTCTGACAAATTAGGGACAACCTGAGAGCCACATTGGTAGAAACATACAGATCTGAAAAAATTCTGGGATGAAAGTAAGGAAGAAGAGATTGGAAGAATAAATTAACATTTAAAATACAACAAGATCACATAGAAATAGAAATAGTTCGATGAAAAGACTTGTCCATAAAAAGCAAAATTACCAACTATCTGGAGATTTAAATTAGACTGTACTGATGAATGTATTCTTCAGAATATGTTTATTTGTATGATCTTTTACGTACCCTTCAATAAAACTCTAGACTAAGTCCCTACGACAAAAGAGGCAGCCCCAGCAGTGGCCTTGTGGCCTGATCTACAGAGACAGCAAGCCGCCATTCACTGACCCACCCCCATCACACTGGCACCCCACGTTTCTCTCCAAGCTTCTTCCCCACAGTATAAATCAGATCCAAATTAGCTGCTAGTCATAATCAGCAGAAAGGATGGAGAGGCCTTACAGTTACCTTAGACACAGCCCTAGTGGTCTTCTCCTACTTCCTCAGGGACGGCCTCCGCCAGCAGCACAACAGCACACTTCCTGTAGATCTACAATCAGTTCTTCCGAGCCGCAGACGGCTGCTATCGTCCTCGCAGCTCTCCGGGTACTCACGCTTCTTTTTCTCCCTCTTTAATTCTAGGCCTTCTTTTCTTTCTTACCTTTGTGTCCCCTTTCAAGCTTTCCCTTTTATTCAAACGTACACCAAAATGGCAAAAGCAGCAAAGCATTCTAAATCATGTTCACGCAAGCCAGTGCTGGGGAACAAAATGGATACAAATTGGTCATTATGTTCTCTTTCATTTGGGGGTGGCGCACAATTAAGAGAGGTACGCTGTTTTTATGTACTTCTCTATAACTGCAGCTCTAAAGGTTCCTCATACCATCATGAAATTTAAGAGGTACATGAGCAATGGCACTATACTGGGAAAGTTAAAACAAAAGATTTATTAACCTGTGGGTTGTTGTTTTAAAAAAGTATCAAGGGGGTCTACACACTTCCTAAGGGGAAAAGTAAACATTTTTTTGAACACTTCATATACTACAGTTCTTGTGGGGTTTTTTTGTTTTTTTTTTTTTGACATGGAGGCTCGCCCAGTCACCCAGGCTGGAGTGCAGTAGTGCGATCTCAGCTCACCACAACCTCCCACCTCCTGGGTTCAAGCGGTTCTCCTGCCTCAGCCTCCCGAGTAGCTGGGACTACGGGCATGTGCCATCATGCCCGGCTAATTTTTGTATCTTTAGTAGAGACAGGGTTTCACTATATCGGCCAGGCTGGTCTCGAACTCCCGACCTCGTGTTCCGCCTGCTTAGGCCTCCGAAAGTGCTGGGATTACAGGCGTCAGCCACTGCACCCGGCTGCATGCCACAGTTTTTCACAGACATTATCTCACGAGTAGACATGCCAAACCTAGCCATCTAGAGCTGTGCTATCCAAAAGGTAGTCACTAACCACATGTAGCTATTTAAATTTAAAACATCATTAAAATTAAATTTGAAATTCAATTCCTCAGTCACATTCAACGCATTTCAAGTGTTTGATACATGAAAACGGCTACTGATTGCCATATTGCACAACAAAGAGAGAACATTTCCATTATCAGAGAAATTCTACGGCACAACAATGATCTAAGTCTCCTTCACGAAGATTTTCCACAAAAACGTCTGAAGAATTACATTGGGTCCCTCGTACAATGAAGATTAATTCGCTCACACTAAAGCTGTAACTACAATCCATATACGTGTGTTCTCTTGTACCTGCAGCCAGGTTTTCACCACTGCCAGTTTCTACGCTATACTTGGCCTACTGAGAGCTCCAGTCTTTTACAAACACTTACTACATCCTAACCTCTCTTGAATGTCTGGCAAAGGTTTGGATCAAAAAAGACATCACATTTTTGCACATATGACATAATACTTGTAGTTGCCTGGAAATTTATTGGCCCATATGAAGTGGGATCCCCGGGGCAGTGACAAAACTAAGTTTATGCTACTGAGGTTTTGCTTGCCCAGGAAATATAAAAAACTTGTGACTGTGAAGTCACTAAATAAACTAATGGTTTTAATAATGAGGGCAAAAAATTATTTTAATAGGTATAATGTCATTATCAAACCACAGAAAATGCTATACCTGAAATAGAGTTCAATTTTGGTTAGATTTCCTTTAAAGTCTCACAGGACTCATGTGGTACGGGGCCTCTGTGACAATAGGTAACTTTTCATAAATGCTTAAGCACATCTGGACTCTACTCCAGTGACCTACAAGGTAATACATCATTCTGTCAGTTTCAGAGGTACATTCACATCCTATTCTCCAAAACCAGAAATCGCCCAGGGATTCCTAGACCATATGACATGTTGCTGAAGGAATATACAAATATATACACACAAATGTGCGTGCACGCGCGCACACACACACACACACACGCACTGAAAGAATATTATAACCATTCACCTTTCTTCTAAATTTTACCTTCTGTGTTAACTTTCCCTGTGTTGACAAAGAATGCCTCTCACTAAGTCATGACCCTGCAGGTCACTGTAATACAACATCGCATACCTGGATTATTATAATGGGTGAAGGGTTCTTACATATAGCTCAACCGGAGGTTAGGAAGCCCTACGAACACTCAGATTTTTGCTTCATTTTTAACCAAAAGGGGTCAGAGCCTTTGTCAATACCAGCTGTTGCAGTGGTTGGCTGCCTGTGATAATAGGCTGCCTTTCACCTGAAAGAATGAAGGGGTGTTTCTCAGAGTAATATCTTACGATACAGAGGATGATACTGTCTTTAAAGCTAGTGAAAATCAATTTTACTGTCACTTCTTTATTTAAAAAAAAACCTCCCTTTGCAGAAATATCACTGAGATGTCATGTTTAAATTTTTTTTCTACTTCACATTATTTATAAGCCAATATTTTAAAGATTTTTGGCAGTTCTTTAGGCCTGGGCAGGGGTGATATTTGCCCAGAATACATCTGATATGGTCTCCTGGTTGTTTCTAAATTTCCTGTTTTGACTGATCAATGCTTGTACAGTGCTTGTTATTAACTACTAGACAATAACTCCTGGGTACAGACACTGCTCCTTGTCTTTTTTCCTTTGTGTAATTCAGATAGTAAATGTCCAGCAAAAAGCAAGATTCCAAGGGGTAAATTCAATTGCTGACGTATTTGCATTTCTAATTCTAATCCAAGTTAAATAAATGAAAAATCCACTGTAAAAGAGAAGCACAAAAGGCAAAATCTTCACAATCATTACCCAGGGAATCACTGCTTTGTATAAAATCATTAAAAATTATCTTGAAAAATAATAAAAGCAAGTTGACTGAGACAATTATACAATTCTAAGAAATGTTTTTAGAAATGTTCTTCTAAGTATTGTTCTTTTTAAATTTTATTTTTGGCAATTCTCAACTGTAACTACAATACAACATTCTTTCCCCAATGAAAAACAAATTTTAAACTATTTATTTAACACTTTTGGCCACCAACATTTACAGAAATAGTTGCTTAGTATAGCAGCTCAAGCAGCTTAAAAAATTTAAAAGTTAAAACTTTCATAGGGCCTAGAAGCAAAGAAAACTCATTAGCAATAAACATAAATAGTGCCCAATCTTGTTTTCTAAAACTATTCTCCAATTTCTAAATTCTCCAATTTCTAAAACTATTCTCCAATAAAAGAAAACAGGGCACATTGAAGAAATGGCTGCTTCTAGGATATGAGCAGGAAACATAAAAAATAAGCCTGAAGCATCTTGTAGTGCCAGAAAGTGAGGAGGTGCTAAAGAAAAAAAAAAACAACTCTGCAATGATGAGGATATGTCAAACGGACACAGAAATCAACTGAAAAAGTTCCCTGCGGCCAAAAGTTAGAATATTTTGGGCAAGAACATAAAGTAGTATTGGATTATAACTAGAGATATAAAATAAATTGTGTACGAATACATACTGATATAAATAAAAGACAAATCTCCTGTTCAGAGGAATTCCAAATAATTTACATATTAAATACTCCTCCTTCAAGGAGGTGGAACGTGGCTCCCCTCTCCTTAGGTCTGGGTGGTGCCTAGTGACGTCCCTGTGACGAGGACAGTGTGGAAGGGAAAAGGAGGAGCTCTGCAGTGGCGAAGGCTGACAAACGCGACCTCAGCTAGGTGATCAAGGTCAAAATCAACAAGTCAAGTCAATAGAGCATATTCCAGGTAGGATGTAATGAAAACGGCACTTTATCTCTGTGGTCTTCCTCCCCAAAATCCGTAACTCCACTCTAATCATGAAAAAAAATTCAGACAGGTATTACCTTCTTTCCACGTAAGGTACGTTCTACAAAATACCTGACCAATAATATTCCTCCAAACTGTCAAGGATCATCAAAAACAAAGAAAGTATGAAAAACTGTACCAAGAGAAGCCTAAAGCAACACAAGGACCAAAAATAACGTGGTATCCTGTGTGGCATACTGGTACAGACACTGGGTAAAATCCAAGGGAATCTGAATAAAGTATGGACTTTAGTTAGTACCAGTATATCAATATTGGTTCATTAATTGTAATAATGCACCATACTAATATAAGGTGTCAATAGGGAAAACTGGGTACAGAATATATAGGGGAACACTCTGTACTATTCACAATTTTGCTGTATATCTACACTTTCTAAAATTTAAAGTCTATTTAAAAAATTTAAACAGTCTTTCCAATACTAAATCATACTGCATACAATTAAAAATATTTATTTGTTTGCCATTGTAATTGTGGTTAAGAGTGTGGGCTAGGATAAAACTGCTGGATCTGAATCCCGTTCCCCTGTCTAAGTTGATTTTTACTATTAATAGTTATGTGCTTGACCTGTACACAGTATATAGCTAACACGGGCCCATTCTGACATCAGTTATGTTCAGCAGTCTTTGCTTTCCCAGTAAGAGAAAAGAAGACAAATAAGGCCCAATCAGCCCAAAGCTTCTCATCACAGGGTAGCCATATTTAGTAAAGAACCAGGCAACATTTGCTGAGTATCACAGGGACTAAACCTGGGGCAAACTGGACCCCCATTCACAGTCAAGGCAGGTTCTCTTTCCCAAGAACAGATGTAACCAGCAATGTGAATAATGCCTCTGGGCAAAGTGCAGGACTGATTTTAAGAGCTGTCAGCAATTTCACATGATATGAACTCTGTTTATTTCTAATATTCAAATGAGCTCAACTAATGAAATACTATTTTATTTTCATAAGCAAAAAGAGCAGTAAAATGAATTTGATAAAAAATATCTGAAGACACATTCAATAAGAATGACCGGGGTACATAGTATGTTATTCATCTTTTTTAAAGTCTACATGTTAAAAGATTTACAACCAATGAATGCTTCTTAAATGAATATTCATACAGCAATTGCAGTGGCTTTTTTACTGCCTAAGAGAGTCATTAAAGGCTTGTCATCCTGGCCCAGCAATGCCTCTGGTGCTTCTAAATCATTAGATCTTAGTCTACTGCTTTGAATGTTGTAATTGCAACATAAAAATGAGAAATAAATTACCAGTATGAACAATCAAAGGTCACGATTTTCAGCAAAAGCTTAGAATTTTATAGTGGCACCTACTTTTTAATATAAACGATTAAGGGTATTTTTCTTGACCAGACTGAGTAAATAAACAGATGCAATTAATGAAACAAATGAAAAGGCTGAGAGCAACTGGCTATTCTTTAAACAGATTATAAGTAACTAATGGGCATTAAAGGGTTTTTTAATGTAAATTTTTGCTTATAATTTCAACTTCTATTTTAGATTCGGGGGTACATCCACAGGCTCGATACATGGGTATGTAGTGTGGCGCTGAGGCTTGGGGTAGAAATGACTCCATCACCCAGGGGGTGAGCCTAGTACCCAATGGGTAGTTTTTCAGCCCTTGCCCCCATCCCCTCTTCCCCCTCTAGTAGTCCCAGTACCTACTGTTCCCATCCTTATGTCCATAACTGATGTTTTTAGAGTTAGATTAACTGTCACTATACCTAATACAAAATTCAGTCTGGGATTGTGCCTCAGGCTATGCTCCACGTCTGCTACTACTCTAAGATCACGTGCCCTCTGTGAAGTCACTGAGCTGAGCACACCCCAGGGACAGGGAACCTGATATTTCTCTTCTATGAATGCACTCAGCACCTCACACTGGATATATAAAGAATAAGGAAATCACTTAATAATTCTTGGATTAAACAAATGAATGCATCTGCTTGTGGAATTATTTCCAATTCAGTGCACCAAACAGGGAACTTTGGTATACAGCCAACCAGGCTATTTTAAGTTTTGTTTTGTTTTGAAAAAAGTATTTACTGTGAGGGCTTAGAGCAGTTACAGGGCTCTAAACAGAAATTACTGGATACTCCCTCCCTTCAGGACAACGTTTGACACATTTCCAATATCTTGTCACGTACAAAATTCAGAAGAGCACACCTGATTCGCTGGCTTGGTGGGGTGGATGCTTACCAGGAGATCTTGATTGACAATGACACCAAGGCTTTATCCAAGGTGGAAGTTAAACAAAGTAAACACGGAGATGCTATTCCTAGAAGAGAACAGCATAGATGCTGAGCGAGAATGTACACAGACAGCCACTGTAACAGAGAAGATGGAGAACAGCGTAGATGCTGAACAAGAATGTACACAGACGCCCACTGTAATAGAGAAGATAGAGAACAGTGTAGACTCTGAGCAAGAATGTACACAGATGTCCACTGTAATAGAGAAGATAGAGGAGAACAGCGTAGACGCTGAGGTAGAATGTACACAGACGCCCACTGTAATAGAGAAGATAGAAGAGAACAGTGTAGACTCTGAGCAAGAATGTACACAAACACCCACTGTGATAGAGTAGAGGAGAACAGCATAGACGCTGAGGTAGAATGTACACAGACGTCCACTGTAATAGAGAAGATAGAGAACAGTGTAGACGCTGAGCAAGTATGTACACAGATGTCCACTGTGATAGAGAAGACAGAGGAGAACAGTGTAGACGCTGAGCAAGAATGTACACAGATGCCCACTGTAATAGAGTAGAGAACAGTGTAGACGCTGAGCGAGAATGTACACAGACGCCCACTGTAATAGAGAAGATAGAGGAGAACAGCGTAGACGCTGAGCAAGAATGTACACAAACGTCCACTGTGATACAGAGGATGGAGAACAGCGCAGACGCTGAGCAAGAATGTAAACAGACGCCCACTGTGATAGAGAAGATGGAGAACAGCGTAGATGCTGAGCAAGAATGTACACAGACGCCCACTGTAATAGAGAAGATAGAGAATAGTGTAGACGCTGAGAAAGAATGTACACAGACACCCACTGTAATAGAGAAGATAGAGGAGAACAGCGTAGACGCTGAGGTAGAATGTACACAGACGTCACTATAATAGAGAAGATAGAGGAGAACAGCGTAGACACTGAGCAAGAATGTACACAGACGCCCACTGTAATAGAGAAGATGCACGGGATGGGAACAACTAACAATTCCCCAGGAACTACAGTAGGCATTTTGCTTTTCATATATATGATTTGATTCTCCAAACAACCTTTTGACGTGGGTATTATCAACCCCATCTTTCTAGAGCCGAAAATGAAGTTCACCAAATTTAAGTTACTTAGCTAAAGTCATGATATCAAACCTAGGTCTTTCTAACCTCTTCTACCTCCCAACCAAAAAAAAAGTTTCTTATCAAAGCATCATGTGAAACATTAAATCCATGAAGTCTCAGAAATGCAAGTCATCTTTGAAAACAATGTTTCTTGACAACGAGGATTTCTTGCCCCCATATTAACAAGGTTTTCTCACAACATATTCAGCAAATCTTTTTCATTCAATCAAAATATGTTATTTGCTTTTATATAAACCTAAGTTTCCATGGCTATTGACAGAAAATGGTGATACCAACGTGACAAGTACAATTCTTACAGACAAATTAATAATCTGCTCATCCCTACAAGCTCAAGATTCCCCTCTAAGTAAGTCTATCAGTCCTTATATATGGTAGCAGTAATAAGAGATACCAGATGAGAATATGGACACATCCACAAAAATTGCTAATCCCTAATGGCAGTCAACCTTATTAATAGGGGGTTAAAGCAGGAGCATTTTTTAAACCAGCGCAAGCCCAGCACTTTTCTACCATGCAGAAAATGGGTGTTCATCTCTCTGGATCAGCTTAAGCACACGCATGCTATTTTGTTTATTATTTGGGTCACTATATCTGTAACCTAAGCAGATGGTAATATGCATTTTATATGAAATATTTAATTAGGCCATCAAAAACATGGCAGTACCAGCTGTCACGGCCTGCTGACCTTGGGAAAGGAGGAAGTATCAGCAAAATGAGGATGACAATGTTCAGATGAAACCCAGAAATGAAGTGTTTATGAAAATCTCAGTTGCTCTAACTTACCACACTTCAAACCAAGAAATGTCACGGAAGCATAATGATCCGGTTCACATCAATCACCTACAGGTCCACTGGGTTTATTAAAAACTATTTTCAGGCCAGGCGCGGTGGCTCACGCCAGTAATCCCAACACTTTGGGAGGCCGAGGCAAGTGGATCACTTGAAGTCAGGAGTTTGAGACCAGCCTGGGCAACTTGGAGAAACCCTGTCTCTACTAAAAGTATAAAAATTAGCTGGGCGTGGTGGCTCATGCCTATAATCCCAGCTACTCAGGAGGCTGAGGCAGGAGAATCGCTTGCACCCGGGAGGTGGAGGTTGCAGTGAGCTGAGATCATGCCATTGCACTCCAGCCTGGGCAACAGAGACTCTGTCTCAATTTAAAAAAAAAAAACAAAAAAAAGCCATTTTTAAATGATTTATACTGATACATACATAGAAAAACTGGAAATATGTACTGCAAAATAATAATTATTATTTCTAGATGGTGAGCTAATGGGTGATTTTTATTTAATACTTTTACTTAACGATATTTTCTATAATGTACTTTTATGATTTGAAATATTTTTAATTTAAAAAAACAGTGACATATACATATCAGTCCTTTTATTTAGTACTGTAGTTCCTGAAACACTGCCTTAAAAATCCATTTTTCTCATAAATAAATTTGAACACATTTGATCCTTTCTCATTTCTACATGACCACCTTTACATTTTTCATATCTGACCGCCCTATCATTGGCCTATGAAGCTTTCCAATCTCTTAGCCCAAGTTCTTTTTCCAACCAAGTCAGAGGACTCCTGCTACTGCAAACCCCAGGCTGGGCCTTGACTCTGCCTGCAAGAATTCAGCTGGAACCGAGTCAACTCCTTCCCCCTTTCCTCAGAGGCTTTTCCAGAGACTTCTCCCTTTCCTCAGTTCCCCAACCCATCACCATCTCCCTCAAATCATCGAAATGTGACGTATTAAATCCACGCACAGTCTCAGAAATGCAATTCCTCCTTGAAAACAACAGTTCTTGACAACAAGGACTTCCTGGTATCACGCTAGCTAACAAAATATACTCCAAATCCTTTTCCATTCAATACATTATGATACCTGCTTATGCATAAGCCTAAAGCCTCCATGGCTAGTGAGAGAATATGGTGATACCACAGTAACAAATCCAACCCAATCACTCCTCCACCTCTTCGCCCAGAAAATAAAGTCTGGAGGCTGGGTGAGGTGGCTCACGCTTTAATCCCAGCACTTTGGGAGGCCAAGATAGTGGATCACTTGAGGTCAGGAGTTCGAGACCAGCCTGGCCAATATGGGAAAACCCGTCTCTACTAAAAATACAAAATTTAGCTGGTCGTGGTGGTGGGCGCCTATAATCCCAGCTACTCAGGAGGCTGAGACAGGAGAATCACTTCAACCTGGGAGGGTGAGGTTGCACTGAGCTGAGATCGCACCACTGCACTCCAGAGCAAGACTCCGTCTCAAAAAATAAAAGAAAAGAAAAAGAAAAAGAAAATAAAGGCTGGAGACTTAAGAACTTTCTCCAGTTTCCTTCCCTGGTCCACAGCAAATCCCTCTGACCCCAGGGCTTTGTTTCCCTCTCACTGGTCCTTCAGTGAAATTAATTCAATAAATATCCACAGAGCTTTAATCCAGATGTGTGCAAGATATTGGGGATTTGTTCAGCCACCATCAGACACAATCTCTGCTCCATCAATTCTCTCCCGCTTCTGGACGCCAGCACCTCCCCATGGTTGTTCGCTAGAGCTGCCATAACAGAATACTACAGACTGGTGGCTGAAACAACAGCAACTGATTCTCACAGTTCTGGAGTCTGGAAGTTCAAGATGAAAGTATCTATAGGTTTGGTTTCCTCCGAGCCCTCTCTGGCTGGAGGAGCCACTGTCTTGCTGCCTCCTGACACGGCAGTCCCTCTGCGCACATGTGCTGTTGGTGTCTCTTCCTCTTCCTACAAGGACACCAGTCATACTGGACTAGGGTCAACCCTAAAGGCCTCATGTTAAATCACCTCTTCAAAGACCTTCTCTCCAAATATGGTCACATTCTGAAGTACCGGTGGTTAGAACATCAACATATGAATTTGCGGGGACACAGTTCAGCCCAGAACACACTCTCCTTCTCCTGGGTTTCTCACTTGCTCCTGGCTCTTCTACCTCAGTCAATAACATCCTCAAATCTTTTTCATATTTAATGCACCAACAACCCACTCCTAGTCCAGATCTTCCCCCTGTCCTATCTAGCTGCTTCCCATCACTGCCAAGATGTGAAAATACCCTAAACTAGAAGTCTCAAACTCAAATATAGAGGAGCCAGGAGAATCCTAAGTGGACCGGATGGAGAACAAGAGAGTACCAGTGCCTGCTAAAGGTGGAGATCACTATCCATTGCCAGCTAACTTCAGTCAGGTGTGAAAACAGAGCCCAGGGTATCTACTGTGTTTTGTAAGAGAACCCAGAAATATATTTATATGTAATTTCCCAAGTTTTATATGCTGATAATAAAAACAGAAACTCCCCCCAAAAACTGTAAGTGGGCCAAATAAAATAGGTTTATAATCTATTTTTCCCCTATTTTTTCCCTATAATCTCTTAAATTTACTTTCCCCATTTCCTGACCTGTCACTCATCCTCACATTAATGAAAACAGGCTTCTTTGTACCAATTCCTTTTCCCAGACCCCACTTAAACAGCTAATGCTGAAGCCCCCATATCTTACCTGCCATGCTTCCCTTCTCAAGTGTGAGCTCCTTGAAAGCAGATCCTGTGTCTCTATATTTCCAGTGCTGAGCACTGTGTCCAGCATAGAATGTGGGCTCAGTAAATGATTACTAAATAAATTGGCTTAACTCTTTCTTTAGAACAACCCAATGAAATGGAGGAATGATAAATCAAAGAATCTTACCTTTGTCAAAGCTCACCACTTAATTTACCTATTTGCTTCACTGGTTTAGCAAGATTCTGGACCATCATGTCACATATATACTCTTACATGGCACGACAGCTTAAAATCCCCACTTTTCCTTCAAATGGCACAATTGAGCTTCCAAAGAGACAAATGCTGATATCATTCTGTCATTTACCCAAAAGGTCCATTTATCTGCATGCTTAACATTTTAGAACACAGTCAATCATCAGAAGGTAAGAAAAAAATTCTATGAATTGTCAAAATAGGTGATTAATGTTCATTCATTAATTTCACTCATAAGCAAACTCTTCAGGCCTTGACTCAGAATCTCCTGGCTTTTAATTTTTAAACTATTCTAACATAACTTCATTTGCAGGAGAAATACATCAGGCCAGAACTATCTTTTACATCTGTTAGCCTGAGAGCCAGACTTAATTCCTGAGATACCAGTGTGCTGCTCTGCGGAGGGGGTTCCTTTGAACCCACTCCGAACTACACTGAATTTAGCCTCTTCTCATCTGTCACTTCACTTATGAACTGTCAAAATTACTCCAGAAGGGTGGAGTCTATGAAGATGACAATAAAAGAAGTTTTGTACTTAAAAGGAGGCATGGAATTTAGACGTAAGAAGACAGAAACCTAGGGTGGTCCTTACAAGGAGATACAGTTCAGCTATCACAAATTAGCTCAAGAAAATACTTAGGTGTCATCTCTTTCTAACAAAGTTATTTTCTTGACCAGGAAGCTTCCAGTGTTCCAATGAAGTGCTCCAAACCCTCTTTTCTTTCACTATAAATGTGGGCATGGTCTCCCTCCTGGAGTCCTTTCCCATGAAATATCCAGTACAGTCATGCGCAGTCTAGCCACAACTCGCCACAGGAAAAGCACAATATGAGGGACAGTGTTCACTCTCATACATCTCTGCTTTTGTTCAATCCAGGCATAACAGGAATTAGACAGGACTAGATTAAAAGTTCCCAGTTCCGGCCCAGCGTGGTGGCTCACGCCTGGAATCCCAGCACTTTGGGAGGCCAAGGCAGACAGATCGTGAGGTCAGGAGTTTGAGACCAGTCTGGCCAATATGGTGAAACCCCGTCTCTACTAAAAATACAAAAATTAGCTGGGCATGGTGGCGAGCGCCTGTAGTCCCAGCTACTCGGGAAGCTGAGGCAGGAGAATCGCTTGAACCCAGGAGGCGAGGTTGCATTGAGCTGAGATCGTGCCACTGCACTCCAGCCTGGGTGACAGAGAGAGATGCCACCTCAAAAAACAACAAAGACAACAACAACAAGAGCAAACTTCCCAGTTCTGCTACACTCTTAAGGCAAGTTACTAAACTTTTCTAAATCTTCACTTCCTCATATGTAAAGTGGGGATCACAATATTAAAGCCTATAAAAGGGTGAACAAATACTAAATTCACTGGTGTGATGAATTACCCATCATGCTGTCTTCAATTTCCACGTCTCAGCTGAGGCTTTCCCTGATGCTGCATGTGTGGCAAGGATCGGGCTTTCTATAGAAAATATTGAATAAAATAATATTCCTCCACTGTTTTTAGGACAACTTCAATTAGATGTGGAAATACTAGGGAAAAAAGAGTAGTCTTAAAATGTATTTTATAAAAATCTAGATACAACTTAAGCCTAAAATAAATTTAAAAAAAGAAAAACAAATTAATCCAGATGACATATAACTAAACATCAAAATGGGGAAGGAAGGAAGGAAGGGAAACCTACATTGAAATCTATTCTACCATAAACCAACATGAACACTTCTGAAAAGAATGTAAGAGGAGTTCTGGGCTATCTCTTAAGTAAAAGCAACAGGAATCCCATGGGTAAAGAAACTTGTAATAAAGAGGTATTTAGACTCAAAGAATCTCACAGAAATATAAGAAATAGAGTTAGGGTCATATGGAATGTTCTAGTGGTACCAAAAGCCACACAAAAATGACAGAGAAAAATTATGTACAGAACTTGTATGCTTGAAAAAAAAGTTACAGTATTATTCTTCTCTTGCTACCAATGCAAAACAAAAATCAATAACCAATTCTGTTTTCAGATTTTTATCCACTGTGCTGCATAAAGGCAATTTGGGGACTGTCTGAACAGAACTTCTAACTCAGCATCTTCTCAGACAAGTAGATTTGTCATTCTAACCAATAAATAACTAGTCATACTGTGGCTAAGAGAGCACTTTATATTTAATGCTTTAATAAAGCTCTGAAAAAGTTGGGAAAACTTTAAAACCTTAGCCACTTTAGAGTAATCATATTAAATTTTAATATAGTTTTATAAACTGTATAACAGCTCAGCTGATTTAACAACTGTAAAAAGCTAAATTCACAGAAAAATAACTCGTATTAATTATTGAATTCACTTTTCAGAAGCACTGATTCACCGAAAGTGATGGCAGACTCAGAAGCTTCTGAAGGAACACAGTTGAGTTCCCTAAACATTTCATTAGTGGGCATTACCAGGGAACACAATTCTATGCCAAACGTATAAGGCAGGTTTTAGGACTTCAGATTACCTAAAATGAACATAATAATGAGTAGTCACTTCTATAAAGATACTGGATATTGGATATAAAAATTAAATATGTGTTATTTGACACACCTATTCTCTATGAATAGGCTGTACCACACATAAAACATCAGAAAATCTGAATTCTTGTGTGTAGGTCATTCATATGTTTACTCCTGTCTTTTAAATTCATCTTTATCACCATCAGATCCTCATTACTTATTGTCTGGATGCAGGTTTCTCTTTTACTTACACTGCCTCTCCTTCCACGTTTTCATCGTTATCAGTGGCCCATGTTAGTAGGTTAATCTTAGTTTGTGAGCCTGAAGATCTCTTAGCGCTCCAAGATGGAACTGGTACGTGTCATCTTATTTCCATCTAAATACAGCATAAGGAGTGAAAAAGGTCAATGGACTGGGAGTTACTAAATAAAGGTGATGTGGAAAACAAATCATAACATAGGAGTATAAGCTAAAGGAAAGGGCCATTATGGTAATATCTATCAAGGACACTTACAAACAGTAAAAGACAAAAGGACATACAAAGAAACGTACAACTTAACTAAAACAGAAAAGAAAAAAGAAAAGCTCTGAAGTCTACAAAATTATAACAACGATGGGATATGAATCATGTTTTTTCAATTCTAAGTGGAAGGAAGAAAAATAAATCACATGTGCCTGGTAGGGGAGAATTTGCTTAAGAAAGTTTTCTCATTTTAGATTTGCTTTTGGGGTAGATGGTACTTTTTCACTATATTCTTCAATCTCAAGTTTTCACAGGAATCACATTAATAAGAGACAGGGACTGGACAATAACCTGGGGAGCAGTAAATTTGGGGGTTATTCTTTTGCATTAATTGGTCTAGTTAACCAAGATGTGCAAACTGCCAGAGTAGAAGTAAATCTACATTCTCAAAATTTTTTTAAAAATGAAGAGTGACAAGGAAGAATATGCCTCATTCTAGCAAAGTCATATCTGAAGAGAGAGCTGGGAAAATAGGTGAGATTTGAAATTTGTGTCTATATGATGTAAGACAATTTTAGAATGATAGTTATTATCTCATAGGCTAAATCAAAGCACAGCTGTCTCTCTGCATGCACATTTTGATTCTGCAACAGAGGTCCTGCAAGAGCCATCATAATGCCAGCAAATTAAATAAGGAGAGTTTGAAAGGCCCAGTCATTGTGAACAAGACTGAGGCTATTTCATTCACTTCACGTGGTGAAGTGCATTACGAGGAGCTGATATGACTGTAAAATGTATGGAGACACTATTAAGCTGAAAGGAATCTAGACATGTGGATAGTTCCCTACTCACTAACACTTCATGATAATAGAGTTAAATATTCTGAATAGTTCACTTCTAAGGGATTAATACACTTCCCCAGTACTCAAAATCATGTCTGCCTTTCAACTTATTTGAAAGGTTCAGTAATAACTCCTCAAATACTCACTGCTTGTCATATTCTAAATACTGAATTCTTAGATGCAAACACGCAGCTCCTATTAGGGCTAACGGAAGCTACATGTTTGTACCAAGGGAAAAACATACGTCTAGAAAACTGTTCTCTGCTGCTCATAGGCAATCACGTTGCATGTCCTCTCGTGGACGGTATAAAAATGCGTGACTATTTACGCAGAACCATTCAGGTGTTACAGGCACTTCCATAGCATCCAAGAATGCATTAGCCAAAACCAACTAAAGTAGTTTTTGGGCTCATGATCATTCAAGCTGAATCAATAATATTAAACAGCATGTGGAATGGGGGAAAACCAAGTGTAAAGCAACATTAAAACCTCTTTCCACTCAAGCATAATTCATTTTGATCTTTACTACTGGATTCAGCTAAAGGTCAAATAATATATGATGATTTAGATTCAGAAAATATATTATTTCGCTGTTGAGTATAGTCTGAAATGAGGGCAACTAATTTAAAAATGGAATCAATTTTAAAAATATAAATGTAATAAAAATGTCTCCATCACAGAATATACAAATTAAGTCCCACTATTGATTACTGCCAACATTTTAAGCCTCCCTACTCATATTGGTAATGTCTTTAGTGCAACTTAATTTTCTTCATATTGTGTCATACACATTCAATGAACATCATTCCAGTGAGGGACCAAGAACGAGGTCAGAAATGGCTGTGATGATAAATTACAGACCTTAATAACTTCTGAACAATTTGAAATGTAAAAGCCATCTATAAGTCATTCAGCTTGATAGATGAATGGTTAATGAATTATACAAACTAATAAAAACCATTAATTATTTATCTGTACTACAAAATGGCATAAGGCCAAGATCTTAAACATGGTCTGCATTAAGACCAAAACTGGGATTCAGGGTATATATAACAAGAGGGGGAAAAAAAGAGTTATCTATTAGAAGACTGTATAAGCAAAAATCACTTAAGCTTTATAAGCATAGAAGATTTTATTAAAGGACTGGTCAGATTCATAACTGACAGACCACTGAAATATTATCAGCATTGGGGTAAAAAAAAAAAAAGGTAACTGGTTGATTTAGATGTTTCCTTGTTCTTTTGCTTTTTGTTTTCAGTGAAAGGCAGTTTGAAATTTCCGTCTTAGTGGTTTGTACTGCAGAACACTGAGATCAAGACTTGGGTACTTTTGTATACTTGCATTTCTTGCTCTTGCATGAGTCCCAAGCAGTGATGGGGGGCTACCCCTCCCCACTAAGGAATAATCACATTCCAGTTTCTGGAAAGAACTCAAATTAGTCTGACTCTAGTGAATCAAGAGCAAGTCCAAGATGGAAACACAGGAGAGGCAACCTGGGAGGGAACAGACTGAACAGGTAAAACTACAGTTAGTAGCCTCCCCGTTCATGAATTACAACTGACAAATGACATCTTATCTGGTAACTCTGTCAAATCTTCACTAATTCTTCGACTTCAGTATTTCTCAAGAATGGCTCTTCTACTACCAATATCAGAATCACCTAGAGAGCCTGTTTAAAATGCATATTCCTAAGTTACTTTCCAGACCTCAGGTAACAGGACATATTCCAGAGGTCTGGAAATAGGTAACAGACCTCACCAAGTGTGGGGCTGAGAAAGCTTTTAATGATCTGCCCAGGATATTCCAATGTGCCCTAAAGTTTGAGAGTCACAGTCCTAAGAGGATGCTCTCCATTACACCACCCTGCAGCAATGGTGCCTACCATCACACGCATAGTGCACATGTCAGCAACGTAAGAGATGCCAAGCTCTTAAGTGTAACAGGGTGCCTTGAATATTCCCTAAATATGTGAGAACATAGGCATGACTGGATGGATAAATGCATGAAGGAGAAAACTAACAGTACTTCTGATATAAAATAGGAATTCTGATTCCTTTAGAATTGGCTCTACAGCACTTTGGGAGGCCGAGGTGGGTGGTTCACCTGAGGTCAGGAGTTCAAGACCAGCCTCACCAACATGGCGAAACCCCGTCTCTACTAAAAATGCAAAAATTAGCTGGGCGTGGTTGCGGGCACCTGTAATCTCAGCTACTCAGGAGGCTGAGGCAGGAGAATCACTTGAACCCGGGAAGCGGAGGTTGCAGTGAGCCGACATTGTGCCACTGCACTCCAGCCTGGGCAACAAGGGCGAAACTAAAAAAAAAAAAACAAAAACAAAAAAAACAGAATTGGCTCTACAAATCCATTCGCAGCTCTCCAAAAATCCCCAAGGTGCTCCAAATTTCTCACAGTCTATATATTTGACCGTACGATCTTAACTTCTCAGGTATTGATCAGAGAAAGTCGAGAGGAAGGAGGAAATGCAGGGCTTCAATTCTGATTTCGCAGAAACATGAGTGCTGCACTGCTTTCGGCCCCGCATGGTGTGCTGGCAGACACCACCACTGTCCCAGGCGCGTCTGCTGTGAAAGCCGTTGCTTAGCAACAGCAATCAATGCTGTATTTCCTCTTCACCATTTTCCTGAAGATTGAGACACTGCTCCAAGGTATCATTTTCAAATACCTTCTGTTTCACTGACCAAACATGTTTGTTAATTTTTCTATTATAGGAAAAAAAAATCATGAACCAAATTGGTCTAAGAATCCAGGAAAGAGGAGTGAGGGAAGGTCAGTATAACACCAGTGCTTTGGGATTTGTTTGATGAAGAAAAATTCTTTGACAGCTCATTGACTTTATTTGCTATACCGTTTCATTCTGCCATTTTAGCATTGATTTCTGCTACCTCATGGGATATGAAAGTCGTTAGCATGAATTATCATTCTAAATGCAGATCCACAAGGTACTGCCATAAAACACAAAAAGCAAATGATTTTCAGAGACTGGTTGAATACACATCTCACATCTCTGTTAAAGCTCTTGTCTTGGTCATGTTCTTATTAACCAATAACAACAAAATGTTAAAAAAAAATAAACATCTCTCCACTGATACCACAATATATAATTCTTTCAGATGGGCAATGTTTCTACTAAATTAATTGTACCTGTGATGAAAGCATATAGACAATACCAATATTTACCTTAGGAAAAAGGCAGAGAAAGTACACAAGAGGGAGACAAATAAAAGGGGGAAGAGGTAGTAATTTTTATCAATATGTCCTACCAATGAATAGATTCTTCATATAAAACCAAAAATGAGACTTGGGAACTTTACATGACATCTTCCAATAAAGAAACTTGATACTTGCTTGAAGTATATACGTGCAGATATGTTAGTAAGTGGTGGAATCCAACAAGGTGGATATTGTGTGATATTTATTTTTCATGTTTATTGAATATCTACTGTGTAAAAATTCTATGGGTAGCATAAAGATGAGTAAAATGTAATCCCTGTACAAGATTGTGGTAAAAAAAAAAAAAGTCACATAAATAAATACAGAAGAATACATATTACCTCAGATAATCACTCAAGTATTTAGTAACAACAAATATTCCACTTAAGGTGGATTATATCTACAACAGACAAAATGAGTAAATCGGAATCAAAAGCTTTTATTTTTTTAAAACACTCAATACTGGTAAGGATGTAGCGACATAAAAATGCATCATGTGCCAGAAAAGACACAGGGCTGGTAAACTAAATCAACTTTTTCAAAGATAGTTAGCAATATGCAACAAAACTTTTAAATATGCAAATTTAAAATGCTGACACAGTAATTGTATATCTAGTCAATTATTTCAAGGAAATAAAGATGCCAACAAAAGATATTTATTTCTGCTACATTTAAAATAATAAATACTAAAATGTTCAATATTAGAAGAATGATTAAATGCATAATGGTAATAATTATATGATAAATGAGTACCATTAGGGTATTCAAGAATATTTTATGAAAGGAAATAATTCCTATAATGTTAACAGGAAAAACATAAAAGCAGCCAATACATAAATGCATAGATAAAATAGTGGAACAAATGAAAATGCTAATGATTTTTGGTGATTTTTATTTTCCTCTCTTTATTTTTTCTATGCGTTTCTAGGTTTTTTGTATTGACTGTCTACTGCATATTTGGTCACCGAAAAATGTCCCAACAAATAAAATCTATCAGTCTCATTTGACTTCCTATTAACCGATCTGTTTTATTTCAACTTAGAACTTCAACCCTCACTGGTATCAAGTACTGCCAAGTTGAATGATAGTACTCTTAAGTTTCCCAAGCATTTTTAGACCAGCAGTTTTTCATTTCCATAAAGATCTAATAAATTTGGTTAATATTTTCCACAGAGAATAGCTGTAATGAAAGCATAAAATTTAAGTTAATCTAAACAACAAATATGTACCAAGCACAAGGCATACAAATGTAGACAGGACGTTCTTGGGTTATGAGAAATGGATTTCAGTAACTTGCTCTCCCTTCAGTGTCCTTCCAGAAGATATGGGGCCTTCAGGTACAGCATTTCTCTGGTGTCAGAATATATAGTCTGTCTACAAAAGGAGCTCTAGTATCATCCAGGGCAGGTGATGACACTGTCTACAACTGCTAACCCTCTACCATCAGATAAACTAAAGAGTGAAGGATGCAGAGAAATGAATAAAATTAAAAGAATTCTGTCAAGGGAAATTAGTATTCTTTCAACCTTCCTCAATCTCATATGATGTCGACACAGATACACAGGATATCACATGCTCTTTTTGTCAGTTACCTGTGACTATGGATGCTGACAAAAGCACTTTTCTAAACCCAAACACCAAGGGCCAGACTTTCCAATGCTTACACAGCAGCATGTATGTTAATACCTGCATTATCAAAGGAGGAAACTGAAGATTTGGAATGGTGAAGTACATTGGCTAGGGTCCAGCTCATCCGCAAGAAGACAAAACTCCAGTGAGTTTTGAGTCAGGTTATCTCCTAAGTCCGTGTTTCCACCATTATAGCACATATGATCTTTGAGAAAATGGATAGGAGAAAGGCACCCATTGCAAAGGAATAACATGAGCAAAACAGAGCAGCAGAAGTCAACAGAACATTCTCAGGCCCTGCACACCCAAGTTTGCTAGAACAAGGGCAGGGGAACACTCAGCTACCTGGTTTGTTCACCCAACCTGCCCTGTCTACTGCACTTCCACGCCAGGACAGTGGCCCTGTTCAAAGGTCAAAACCAGTCCCACTCTGATGCTCCCCTCCCTGGCTCCATTCTCACTTCAGCATGATGATCTTCTCATGGTCCCTGAGAATATCTTAGCATCTGTAATGGCCATCGGCCATTGAGTAAATCCCAGTTTTAAACTTGCCTATAAAGAACGAACTTAGTGTGCTTTTCTGCTGCTTTCTCTCATTGAACACAGTTCTTTCTCTTCCTTCAAGAAGAACCTTTCTGAAGCACCTTGAATTTCCTAGTTTATAATCTCTGTGAACTCCTGCTATCAAGAGCTCTGCAGAGCTAGCTTCCATAACCTGTCCTCTTTGGTGACTCTCTCGTAACACCAAAAGCTCCCTTCTAACACCAACAGGCAAAAGATGGTCATGGTTTAATATTTTAGGTACTGTTCCAGAATTAGCCAGACTGTGGTTCTTAATGTTTGCATCTGTTTGTTTACAGAAATGGTGGTATTGATCTAATGGAACACTGGAACTTGGTCTTTACAATGGCAAGTTGTGGATGATAAGGTTGAAAAAGACAAGAGAGGAGTCTAGAAATCCAGTCAGAGATTAGATTTCACATCCCAGGTCACAAAATGGTAGGGAGATAATACATTTGTGAAAGCTTTATTTGGTAAAAGAATGCAAGATAACCAAAGAGGAGACAAATGTCATAGCAATCCAGCTATGAGTTGTGTACTCTGTGCTGGAATGGTAAACCAAGCATGGCAAGATATCTCAAAGGAAAAATGAACAGAACTGTCAATTAACTGTATATGAGGTAAAACAAAGGAAAAAAGACAAAGAGATGAGTTTTGAAACCAATATGTTGAAGCTCATAGTATCAGCTCATTTATTTAAGTGAAATATATGAAGGAATTGTTTAAAATAAAAACCAAGGAATTTTTAAAATAGCATGCCAAAGTAAGTAAATACATAATAAGTATGCCTCCAAGAAGTAAGGCTAAGAGAGAAACCAATTTAGATCAGTGGCCTCTTTCAGGAAGAGAGAAGGTTCTGCCCTATCCAGCATTTTCTATAAGGACAAGAGAAAATATTTTTTCAGTCTTCCAAAGACAGCTACCGGAATATTTAGGAACAGTCCTAAAAATCAAGAAACAGAATCTTCTGAATATGGAGGAATGATCATTAAAACAAAGAGGAATGGAGAATAGCAAAGCCATTTTGCAGCTAAACTTGCTGAGCCCCAAAATTATCCACTCATGTTTATGTTAGCAGTACTATAAAACTTATATATATGCTCTATTATCAAATACATTTTTCCACTTTCTAGTAGGTAAAATTCATGGAAACACTTAATTTTCTTTATTTATGCAGATTTTTACCTCTCTAAAAAATGCTGCTGCTGAGCTTTCTATTTTTGTTCATTCCAGTTGAAATGCGATGATTCATCGGTCATCACCACAATGGCCACACGCATGTGGAAGAGAAGCTCATGATTCTAATCTGCACAGTTGCTGGCGGCTAGATATGCCTAAAGAGGATGTGAAACAGCAGCTTCACTTCCAATGGAGATCCGGACAGTAATAAAACAGTTTCGCAATCTCTTCACTAAATACATCTTTGTTTGCATGGTCTATGTATATTGTCATGGGGCAGGTGCAGGAAAATATAAAATATACATATTTAAAATCCTACTGAGCTGCTGTGAAGTCAGTGACAAAGAAAAACACACACACGCTGGGGCTTCATGCATGTAGTTAAATAAATAACTTTGAGATCATCAAAAAGAGTCAGCACACCCATATTTCTTACTTGGCGCTCATTACTGTTCAAAGACACCATTTTTTTTTAATGCTGAGCCATCTTAAAACTTTGTCAGGCAACATTAAATTCTTCAAGTCTTAAGCCCTAAAGAAAGTTACCAGTAATGGGCAGTAACATTAAGTTAGCTTTGCATTTAAGAAAAAATATTTATCCATCTGCCTTCTCCCACAGAGTACTTTGGATCACTCTCAGTGGCCATCGTTCTCTGTCCTGTCTTCATGCAGCTGGGCTGAGCAGCAGCATGCCACAGAAAGGGGCCAGCGGAACTCAACTGTCCAAAGAAATGTCCAAACTGCTTCTGTTACGTAAAGCCAATGTCACTTTCCTTTTTTAAAGGAAGCCCTGGGGTGTAATCCTGCCTGAGATGAGTCCACTGACACGACAAAAATCTAAAATGTGTAACTATTTGGAGGAAAGTCAGTGTGTATCTTCCACTTGAAAGGTATAATTCCTTAAAAGGGACATAAAAATATTTTTTCTATTGTATACTCTAACAGTCAATAACTCACAAGGAAACCGAATAGAGAGCGAAAGATGGAGCACTCTGGACTAATGTGAAAAACAAACTCAAGGCCGGGCACGGTGGCTCACACTTGTAATCCCAGCACTTTGGGAGGCCAACAGGGGCAGGTCATGAGGTCAGCAGTTCAAGACCAGCCTGGCCAACATGGTGAAACCCCGTCTCTACTAAAAATACAAAATTAGCCAAGCGTGATGGTGCACACCTGCAATCCCAGCTACTCAGGAGGCTGAGGCAGGAGAATCGCTTGAACCCGGGAGGCAGAGGTTGCAGTGAGCCGAGATAGCGCCATGGCACTCCTGCCTGGGCAGTAGAGTAAGACTCCATTTCAAAAAAAAAAAAAAACTCATAAGCAGACTTCAGGAAAATGCCAAACAATAAAATACATCTCCATATTGGACAATATGGTGACCCCAACAACCCAGATAGACGCACTGACAAATATCTTCTAAATGCATCAGTACATTGTTTGTACCCTCATTTGGGGAAAAATATGCAAAAAAGATACCTAGGAACAAGTGGGAAAATCTGATATGGATTAGGTATTACAGAAAATATTAGAGAATTGTTACTAATTGTCTAAGACGTGCTATGGCATTGTTATAAAAGAGAACGTCTTTGTTTTTAGAATGCTAACAATTGATGAATCTAGGTGCTAAATTTCTGGTTGTATTCCTTCACCTTTTCTGCATTATTGAAAATATAATAAAAAATGAAGAAAAATAAAGGCATAAAAGAAGTTGTATTTAAAAAGAGAACATTAAAATAAAATTCATGATTTAAGTGATAAGAAAGAAATATCCTTAGAGTATTACAGTCAAGTAAAGATACCAGGCCAGTAAGTAAACTCTGAAGCTAGCTTTCTCACTAGAAACATTTAGCTAACCTGAGGATCCTGAACTTTCCCCTTGACGGAGACGTGGGCACAAAGCACTGGAGGCTGTGTGTGGGCCTCATCCAGACTGGAAAGTCTAAAACCAAACTCCTGAACAGACCTAGGATTTTCCAAGGACTATATGCTGTGAGTTAGAATCACTGTAAATTACAAAAAATCTATTCCACACAAGGGAGAGCAAAGAAGTTCTCAATCTAGACCCTAAATACTGGACAGAGGGGGATAATTTTTTTCTAGACTCATAAGCAGAAGTTGGCATCTAACCAAGCTTGTAGCCTAAATTTATATTATCTTTGTGGGAGAAGAAACCTCAAGCCCAGAAATTAACCTGAGCAGGATCCAAGGTTGTTAATGCCTTAGTTATCCATCAAAACAAAAGGCAAATTCACTCAGGGTGAATACACCTTCAATCCAGGCCTCAAAGAATTTCTAAAGAGTGTGAACTTACAGCTTAAAAAACAAAATCACAAGCCAGGGTAACGTAGGGAGACCCTGTCTCTACGAAAAATTAACTGGGCGTGGTGATGTGTGCCTATGGTCCCAGCTACTTGGAAGGCTGGGATGGGAGGATCGCTCGAGCCCGGGAGGCAGAGGTTGCACTGAGCCGAGATTGTACAACTGCACTCCAGCCTGGGTAATAGACCAAGACCCTGTCTCAAAATATAAATAAACTAAAAATTCTCACAAAGAAAACAAAGAAACAAAGATCAGTGAACAAGACTCAGCAGAAGTATTATATTGCTGAATCAACTCACAAAGAGTTTCTAATTTGGTATTATCAGAATTTAAAGTAAATATGTTTAAGATGTTTAAAGGAATAAGAGATTGAAAATATGAGGAAGGATAAAGAAAATTTTTTAATGTCTAGCTAGGAAAAAAAATACCATCTAGAAATGATAAATATAATTGTAATTAAAGTGCTAATGTAAAAATTGGCAACAGTTTTTAAATCCCACAATGTCAAATGCTGGTGAAGATGGTTCAGTACGAATGAAGTCAACTTTCAGAAACAATTTGACATTATCTAGTGAAGTTGCAATAAGCATACTCATGGCCCAACAATTCCATTACAAGTTATATATCCAAGAAAAACTCCTGTACATGTTCAATGGAAGATAAATACATGAATGTTCATGGCAATGATATGTGTAACAGTTAAAAACAGAAAATAAATAAACTATGGTACATTCATAGAAAACAATACAGCGATAAAACTGAATGAGTTGCAGTTACATGACCATCACGAATAAATCTCAGAATACTAGGTCAAAAAAAGAAAGTAGACAAGAATACGTACACTCTGACATGAGTAAAGTTAAAAACATACCAAATTATAACACATAAAAAACTGATTTCAATACATACAAGAAAACCTGTTAAAAAAAAAGCCAGTGAAAGGAACATAAGATTCAAGATAGTGATTATTTCGTGGGGTGGAGAGGGAGATAAGAGAGAGAAGCAGTTGTGCAGCTTTAAAAGTAGTGGCAACAGGCCGGGCGCGGTGGCTCACGCCTGTAATCCCAGCACTTTGGGAGGCCGAGGCAGGCGGATCACGAGGTCAGGAGATCGAGACCATCCTGGCTAACACGGTGAAACCCCGTCTCTACTAAAAATACAAAAAATTAGCCAGGGGGTGGCGGGCGGCTGTAGTCCCAGCTACTCTGGAGGCTGAGGCAGGAGAATGGCCTGAACCCAGGAGACGGAGCTTGCAGTAAACCGAGATGGCGCCACTGCACTCCAGCCTGGGTGACAGAGCGAGACTCCGTCTCAAAAAAAAAAAAAAGTAGTGGCAACACTGTATTTCTTAAGACTGGCTGACTGCTATGCAAGTTGTTTGTTTACTGTTATTTGTACCTTATATTTAAGGTATTTTGTGTGTGTTCAATAAAAATTATTTAACAAAACAAAAAAGCAATAATACTCACGGGTATCTTAGCCAAAAGCCTGAAGCTATACTAGTTCTGCACACAACAAACATGCTTTAGAAAAAGAGGAAACCAGTAACATTCAGGAATATCATAGCAAGACAATCACATGCTTCTGGAAAATACAGGATACTGTGGTAAGGAAATGACCAACGTTGTCAATTCTGTCCCCTTTCCAGGGATGTAGATCTCCATTTCACAGAGCACCAATAGCTTTATCTGTATGCCTGGGAGTTGTCAAGCCTCTCTTTTATATAGGTTGGGCTTAATTTAACTAAAACTCCTGATTTTCCCCTCCAACTATTGATAGGGACAGGGGGCAGAGAAATTCTAGGCAGAAAATGGTGGTCCCCAACAAAACCCCACCTTCAAGCCTCAAACCATGGCCCAAAGTAGAACTTACATCCCTGTTTCCCTGCTTGAATGCTGCCTTTTCCAAAACCACCTGTGGCCCTATCCCACCCCACCCTGTGCCTATAAAAACCCCAGATCCAGCCAGCAGAGAGAAGAGAAGCAGCTGGACATCAAAGACTGCAGCTGGATGTCGGAGAGAAGCAGCTTGACTTCAGAGGGACAGCCTGACGGGGTAACTCTGGAGAAGAATCTGGCCAGAGATGACCGCATTTCACAGGAAGATTACCTTCCTGCCCCATCCCCTTTTCAGCTCACCTTGCCACTGAGAGCCACTTCCATTGGCAATAAAACTCCCTGCATTTATCATCCTTCAATTCATTCGTGTGACTTCATTTCTCCCAGATGCCAGACAAGATTCTGGAGCCATGAGTGTGAAGACAAAAAGGTTGTCACACTGACCCTTTGCCCTCGTTAGCAGAAGGCAGCTGCCTCATGCGAAAAGGCAGAGGGCCCATTGAGCTGTTAACGCATAAGCCGTCTGCAGAGAGCAGAGCTAAAAGGTCACTGTAACACTCCCTCTGGGGCTTTCGTGGTCACAGGCACTCCCAGCCCCCAGATGCAGCTGCAGGCAAGCACAGAGTTGGCTCCTGCCAGCAACCAAAAAACACTCACCCAGGCTCCTGCACTCACACACCTGCATGCCTCCTTTCATGAGGGGTGGAACGCAGCAGATCCGACTGAGTGGGGTTCACTGCTGGTGCCGTAGTGGCTGGCTGACTCCAGCGACCATGTACTCCACCTCCCACCTTGTTGACTCATGCACTCCCTCCTGTGAGGAGCTGAGAGCTGCAGGTGAGTAAACAGAACACCCCTGTTGCAAGTCCCACGAGGGTGTCAGGGAAATATACTGCTTCATTATTGCTGTTCATTTGATTTCAAATATAATGATATCTAAACGCAATTTTTTGGCATTTACGTTCCTCTAAGCCCAGCCTTAAATTTAGATGATGAAAATCTTAAATTGTCCCAAATGGACACTACCTCCTTCCACATCTGTTGACTAGGATATTGATGGTAGTGGCCATTCCAGACGACCCACTGCTACCATCACACCAGCTGCAGTGAGGAGGAATGGCCGGGCCTGCACACTCCACAGAGCAGGGAGAAGACCCCACCCGCCCCACCCGCCATGCTCTCCCCAACCCACCATGCAGCTGCAGACCCAGGCACCTGCAGCCTCCCAAACCATGGCTGCAGACCTGGGACTCCTGCTCCACGAAGCAGGTGGGAGCCCCACCTGCCTGGGCACAGCTGCAGCTGACCAAACCACAGCTGTGGATCCAGACATCCCTGCACTTTGGGGGGCCCAGGAAGGCCCCTGACTGCACTCACAGTCTCAGAAATGCCTGCTTCAGCTGCCTGGCTTCTCTCTGCTATCGATGCCCACTCCGACCTGGGAGCAAAGTCAGGGCTGAGTCCGGGCACCATGAACAGCAGCAGGAGGCAGGCAGGTTCCTGGGCGGATGGGGCCTGGTCACCAGTGAGGCCCCATTGTCAAGCCAGGAAGGGCCTGAAGGCTGGGGGCTGGGCTGCCAGTTCCGGGGCATGGAGTGGAAACTTGTGGTGCCTTTTCCGGCCCACCCATGGCCACCTATGGACCAATCAGTGCAAACTTCCTCCCCTCTGAGGCCTGTAAATGCCCCAGGCTCAGTCAGAGCTGAGCAGACTGGGACAACCAGCTGCAGAGAGGAGCTACCCACTCCAGGGTCTCCTCTCTAGACTGAGAGCTGCAGAGATGGTACTACCAGCTGCAGAGGGGAGCAACCCACTCTGGGGCCTCCTCTCTGCTGAGAGAACAGACAGATGATGGGACGACCAGCTGCAGAGAGGAGCTACCCTCTCTGCCTAGAGCTGCAGATGATGGGACGACCTGCCTGCAGAGAACAGTCTCTTACTCTAGGGCCTCCTCTCTGCCAAGAGCTGGAGACAACGGAACAACTAGCCAAACAGAGAAGCTACCCTCTCTGCTGAGAACTGAACACTCGTTGGGATGACCTACCAGCAGAGGGGAGCAAGTCTCTCTGCTAAGGAGCTGAACGCTCATTGGGACATCCTGGCTACGGAGAGGACCTGCCCACTGTGGGTTTTCTCTGAGTTGTTCTATTGCTCAGTAAAGCTCCTCTTCATCCTGCTCACCCTCCACATTGCATACCTCATTCTTCCTGGTCACAGGACAAGAACTCAGGACCCACCGAATGGTGAGGCTAAAAGAGCTACTGTAACACAAACAGGGCTAAAACATGCCCCTTGCTCGCCACGTTGTGGGCAAAGAGAAGGAGAAAGGAGCTGCAACCCTTCGGGTAGCCCAGACCTGGGAGCTCCCTGAGCCAGGGCTGTGAGCCCTTCTTTGGGGCCCTGTGGTTCCTGGCATCTCCAAGTTTCCGGGATGTCACCACATTCCCCGGTGCCAGACGGGAAAGCCGCTTGCAGTGAACCCGGTCCAGCCACAGCCTCACAGAGAGCTGGTGCTCACGCCAGCACCTGGAGCTGCCCACACCATAGCAGCAGCTGGTGTGTCTGACCGCACAGTGGGCGGACCCCACGTTTGCTGACACACACCCCTCACCACTCCATGCCTGACTCCAGACTCCCTTTGAAGCACGGGATCCAGGCTGGTAGCATGAGCTGAGCGCAGCCTGCCAGGGCGAGTGGGTGGAACAAGCCCAGCAGGTCCAAGCAAAACTCAGGCAAGGGCACCACCAGTCACATGTTTCCGGCCAGAAAAGTGACACCCCAAAGACCCCATGACAGTATGACTTATATCCTGTTATATTGTCTCATCACAATTCACATAGGGTTGAATCTGCTATTTTGACTGTTTGTGATGTTTTGGCTAGCATCTGAACAGATGGGCAGTTTTTCTTCAGTATGACTATTTGCCAACAATTGGAAGGGTGTAAAACTCATTCTCAGAGCAACCCAAACATAACTACAAGGAGTCTAACAGATAAAATATCCACTGTTGTATTCAGAAATCCTGTATAAAGTGCCAGTGAATTAAAAGAACACTTTGGTAATGTGGTTAAATGAATGCTACTAATAATCATAATAGAACTGGAAATTTGTATAGGTATTGTGTTCACATTCATCTGATTATCATAGCTCTAAGAAATAGATATTACAGGTATTATTACGGACTTTATTATCGACAAGGAACAAAGCACAGAGAGATCCATATTACAGAAAATGGACTGAACTCAGAAATAAGAACAGGATTTGAGCCGATCTGTGCCTCATTAGCTGTGTAAACTTAAACAAGTAACTTAATTTCTCACAGCCTCCATTGCCTCATTTGAACACGCAAGCACAGTGAGACCTAACTCACAAGGTCCTCCTGAGAATTATATAAAATATATAAAAGTTATCAGCAAGAGCTCCTGTCATAGAGTAGATTCTTCATGAATATATCCTTCCTTAATTTATGAAATCCTCCTTGATAAGAAGAAGTCAAAACTTTTATCATTACTCTTTTCACAAAGGAGTCAAAGGTGATTTCAATTTAGGGAAAAAGAAAAGTTTAGACCTAAAACATTAATATAAACTGAAGGATGCAAAGAACTCAATGTTCTACAATCATACTTCAGTGGCCTCTCATTGTCTCCTGAAGAAATATACAGAATATAATGAGTGGGTCACCATGCGGTTTAGAAGGGGCAGAGTTGTCCTACAGTAATAATCACGGTACATTTGATGCTAAATCGTATGTGCTCTAATATTGTAATTTCACATCTAATACATGAAAATCTTTCCAATGAAGTTAGTTTATTCCCTATAGCATGAAGATAGATGAAGTTAAATAGTTTATTTCCTATAGCATAAAGATAGCCCTTGACATTCATTGTCACACATTTCCTGTTTCTGAGATCAGTAATTTGTAGATTCCTTCCTGAAGGTTCCAGCAAAGAGCTTTTACCCATCTGCCCAACTCCTTTGATTCAAGACAGGGAGGGGAACAGAGGTCTCCTCAGGAAAGAGAGTCTCCTGTACCCAGGGTGAGGAGAAAAGTGGTCATAAGGAAGCCGTGGGGCCACAGATGTATGACCACTCACAACTGATTCAGTGAGCCAAGAAGACAGCAGTGTTGCCAGAGATGGAAGGTGTTCTCAGAATGCTAACAGGACTTGCTGATGAAGGGGATGGTGGTAGGGGATGACAGAAAGAATTAATCAAGAGCGATGCCTTGATTTTGGTCCTGAGCACCTGACTGGGAGTAACTACTGAACTGGAAAAGATAGAGGCAGCCTGAGTCTCCTGTAAAATTCAGACACCTTCCAATCTCCATAATTCTAGTTTCTTGTTCCTGGACCTCTTGCTTTAGGGAGGCATATAGCACTTTACAAAGTATTTGCTCATTTTGTCATCTTATGTATATACTGAAAATGGAGTCAGTGTCACCAGAAAGGACACCTAATACTCCTTGCTTTTCTTATGGACCTACGACTATACTATAGGTGCTGAAGGTACCTATACCTATACTATTGGTATTGAAGGGACACAAAGATTTGACCTAACCTTAGAGTCACTTTGTAGGACTACTACCCCTTCTCTGTTTTCCTCCTTCTTCATTAACTCTTCCCTTACCTGACAAGCACAGCTGACTGGAATTGTGTACACTAAATGGTCCTTTACAATACGGAATACTTCAGTAATTACAATATGCTGGAATTGCTAAATTCTATAATTTCATTTGGATGAACTTAATCACATCATAGCATTCAATTTGGCTTATTTTCAAAATCAGCTTCGTTTATAAACTAA
This sequence comes from Homo sapiens, assembly GCF_000001405.40. Classification (NCBI taxonomy): domain Eukaryota; kingdom Metazoa; phylum Chordata; class Mammalia; order Primates; family Hominidae; genus Homo; species Homo sapiens. Next base: position 246,223,949 of record NC_000001.11, read on the forward strand.
AAAGAACTGAAGGATTCTTTTCATTTTCAAGACTTCTCATCTGTAAGAGGATTTAGATTCTTCTATTTACAAGCATTCTTCTGAGAATCTTTCATTCTACACACAGGTTTCTTTGGGGGTTCTGTTTTATCTTTTTTCATACACTGCCTACCAGAGAGAACAAGACTGGCAAAAGGACTCTGTCCTCATAAAGCTCAGAGACGATGAACAGATAAACAAGTAAGTGAACAAAAATACTTCAGATAATGCTAAATCCTCCAAGGAGAATATGATACAGTAGATGTAATGGGAAGCTCCTTTAGACTGAGTGGTCAGAGAGGACCTTTCTGGGGTGGGGTGTGGCATTTGAACTGTGCCCTGAAGACCGAAGCAGTACAAGCACAGGAATTAGCAACTGCAAGGGCTCTGTTTGATAATGAACTTGGTAGGTTAAAGGGACAGAAAGAAAGCCAGTGTGGCTGAGGTGTGGTCAAGGGGATGTATCCAAAGTATAGCAATACATCAGAGAGGAAACCCAGGGGCAGATATATTAGTACTGAAATAGCATAAGGGATTCACACTGTATTCTAGGTGTAATGGAAGTCGATGGAAGGTTTTAAGGGAAGGTGCAGGGATTACCTAATTCATATTTTAAAAGGTCATTGTGGGCGCCACTGAGAAAGAATATAGAGGAGCAGGAAAGGAAGGAGGAGGAGGAAGGACAGAAGGAAGACTACTATGATTGCTCAGGCAAGATATGATGTTACGTTAGACTATACTGGTGGCAAAGAAAGCAGGGGAAACAGACTTTAGACATATTTTAAAGAAAATGTTAATAGGACTTGCTAATGAATTCAGTGGTGATGGGGGTAAGTGACAGAAAAAAAATTAAGAGTAATGACTAGATTTTTGTACTGAGCACTTGACTGGGGGTAATTATTGAGGTGGGAAAAACAGAAGCAGAAAAAGGAAGGTGGCAGAGGGAGCCGAGGAATCAAGAGTTCTGCTCTGGCTATGTTGAGTTTGAGATGCTTTTCAAATATCCAAGTGAGGATGAAACCAGTAGATGGCTGGACATACGAACGGGAGCTCAGTATAGCAATCAAGGCTGGAGATACAATTTTTTTTTTAGTATATTGGCATCAAAGAGGGTATTTAAAGTCATAGAAATAAATTAGAATCCTTTAAGGAGAGGGTTTATTTAACGAGAAAGAAAGGAGAAGAAAGCTCAGGACTCAGCCTTTCATAATTCCAGTATTTAAAGGTTAAACAGAGCATCAACAGCCGTCAAAAGATGTTGAAAAGAAATGGCTAAACAGAGGGAAAAACAAGAAGAGTGTTGAGTACTAGGAGCCAAGATAGGGGTCAGTTATGTGGAAGACTGCTGAAAAGTCAAAAAAAAAAAAAAAAAAAAAAAAAAAAAAAAAAAACAGAAAAGACACCAGATTTGGCAAGACTAAAGGTCTTTGGTAACCTTATTAGAACAACTGTAATGAAGTGTCAGAAAAGAAAGTCCCATTAGAATGGGCTGAAAAGAGAATGGAAGGTGAGGAACAGGGGAGAAGGAAGAGACAATAACTACATAGCAGTCTTTTCAGAAGTTGTGCACAAGTGTGTGAGAGAGCTAGAGCACAGGAGAGCGAGCCCGCACCAGCACACACTTAACACAGGTGACAACAGAAGTTACGGAAAGACAGTGTCTCTGGAGCATCTGTAATCATCTCCTTCTTTGTTTTCCTCTTCGAGTCATTCTGCTGAAGTTCCTGAATAAACCATACGGATCTACAACATACATACATCTCAGACCTAGTATCTCTTTTGTTCAATCTCTCCATATTTTTCTGCCAAATCTAATCAGAGGTTTTGCGGAGGGATTCGTAACAACTATATTCTTCATTTTTAAAAATGTGTGCAAAATAGTAGCATTCGGTAAATATTACAAGATTGCAAGGCTAGATGTATCTCAAAGAACACAATACAAAAGATGTAAGATGCTCTTCTAACTGGAAATGGTGGAAACTTCATTATGAATCCAATTTCCAAATTATTTCCAATAATGAAGGCCAATGTATGATCTAGTCACCTTTGACAAGATCGGTTTCCATAATATGTTTACTTGCTTTTTTTCACACTGTCTCCCAATCTGTTCTTTGAAGTTTCTTCTTGCCTAAAATAAACTTCCACACACCTGCTCTATAAACCCGAACTCAAAGTGTAGCATTTTTACCTCCATAAATGTTTTGGACACTATGCTGACAGAAGAAGAAGAGGAACTAAATGACCTGTGAAAGCCCCTGTTAGTTGCTTCATACTGATACCGAATTTCTAAATGTATTATAAATGCATTTCACAGCATTCCATTAACATGTCAGAGGACTTTCTTTTCCACTAAGCACACTTTGCATGAGTTAAATATCATTCTTTTAAATTTACATAAAGACAAGTTAAAGATGAGGCCATGTACTACAGATTTATTTAATCTACATGAGACCTAAGATATATTTTCATCAATGGCTGTGCTAGAATAATTATAAATTACAGAAAATAAAACATTCAGTTAGTGGTATAGTTTGCCTAGAATTGATTTTTTGATGCTGATTATATAACCCATTAACTGACTAAAACTTCTTCACTCGAGTCACTGCAGCGTCTGCCACCATTTGTGTTAGTGTTTACACATAAAGATCACACACATTTGATGCGTCCACTTTCCTTCAAATATGGGTTAGAGTGGAACTGGGAAACAGAACCATTTCTAGTCTTTTTACAGCTTTGTTATTTTGATTTTTAAATTTACATTTGGAATAAAGAGAAACTCTGCTATAAGAATCTCATACTAACCTCTGAATAAAGTGGAGATATGCAAGTACTCCAAGAAGGCAACAGAATTAAATATATTTTCTATGAAAGATATTAAAACCAAAAGTGTTTAATAATCTTCATTAATGAACTTTAAAGCTCAAGAAGACCTTATAAATCATCTAGTTCATCTTCCTTGGTTTCAAAATCTACTCTTGAATTTATTTAGCATTATGAGATTATTAGATGAGGTTATTTATTCTCCCTAATTTTAATATTGATAATTAATCTTTAATAAATGCTTGTGATTTTTGACATATTAAATTCTAAACCTCAACATTTCAAACAGTCTTAGATCATGAAGAATATTAACCAAGTCCAACGTCCCATATACTTTGTAGTAAAATGGTAGACCCTGAGGTGAAGTGGGGCAATAATTTCATGAGAACACATCACAGTACATGGTTAGATGTACTTTCCACTTTTTCTTCTACTAGAAAACTAAGTTTCTGTTTTGGGAAGTGCTGGCTTTGTGTTCTGCCCGTTTATGCTTTAATTTCAGCTCATGCACTGGGGCGCCCTCAGGAGGATTAAAGAAGACAACTTTGGCCGGGTGCGGCGGCTCACGCCTGTAATCCCAGCACTTTGGGAGGCCAAGGCAGGTGAATCAAGAGGTCAAGAGATCGAGACCATCCTGGCTAACATGGTGAAACCCTGTCTCTATTAAAAATACAAAAAATTAACCGGGTGTGGTGGCGGGCGCCTGAAGTCCCAACTACTCAGGAGGCTGAGGCAGGAGAATCACTTGAACGTGGGAGGCGGAGGTTGCAGTGAGCTGAGATTGCACAACTGCACTCCAGCCTGGGTGACAGAGTGAGACTCCATCTCAAAAAAAAAGAAGAGAAGAAAGAAGAAGAAGGAAGAAGGAAGAAGAAGACAACTTTGAGTGGTGGATGAAACTCCGTCCTAAAGATTCCAGGCTGGAGAACTGGGTCCTTTTAGCCATCTTATTAACAGTTTGAACTTGAAGAGATCACTTAACCTCTCCAGCCACTCTACCTTTATGCATAAAATGAAAATAATATTAGTTTACACATAAGTATTCAAATAATTTCCTAAGGTCTCACCGATCTCTAAAAATCTGTGATAAATATTTTCATAAAATAGATTTGGCATCATATGCTATGTTATTTATATTTACCTAACACCACATTTCCTTATTTTTATTCCTTTTTTTTTTTTTTTTTTTTTTGGAGACAAAGTCTCACTCCATCACCCAAACTCCAAACTACAGAGTGCAGTGGCAGATCTCCACTGACTGCAACCTCCGCCTCCCGGGTTCAGGCAATTCTCCTGCCTCAGTCTCCCGAGTAGTTGGGATTACAGGCGCATGCTACCATGACCGGCTAATTTTTGTATTTTTAGTAGAGATGGGTTTTCACCATGTTGGCCAGGCTGGTCTGAAACTCCTGACCTTGAGTGATCCACCTGCCTCAGCCTCCCAAAGTACTGGGATTGCAGACGTGAGCCACTGCGCCCGGCCTCACATTTCCTTATTTCAATGTTTACTTCAGAAGGCCCTAAAGCAGGGCAATTCAACTGGCTTCCATGTTTACTTATCATTAAAAGTTATCTTACAGGACTCTTGGGATTGTGTCCTTTTTAAGACAACACAAAGTTCATAGAGTAATGGACTGTGTGGTACTCCTACCCGAGGCTCCAACATTTTGAGGCATAAGAAAATCAAGTATCTGGTTCTGATTTCCACTCTACTTTGTTGCCATTTTTAGCAACAGTTGATGGCACTTGACCTGATCTCTTTCCTGGTCCATTGCCTATAGGTCAAGCTGACAGCAGCATAAAACCCTAAACAGCCATAACTTTTTAGTATCTATTAATAGATACATTTTATGGTGGCTGAAGTGACAATCTAGGTTCCTTTGGTTAAGAAGTTCAAAATCTTTATTCTACTGCTATTCCTTTCTGTATAAGTTTCTCAGAGAAAACAAGGTGTTTCCAGCAGCACCATCACTTTATGAAAAAAATTAAACCTCCATCATCTAAATATAATGTTTTTTCTAAAAGAAGCCTTCTTTTTTTTAGTATGTATATTATTTTTAGATACTTCCATTGCTTTAAGAAGTTCCCATGATCTTTGAGACAAAAATCAAAACATCTTTGGGATGACAAAACTAAAAATGAATAAATAGATAAAGTGGAATTTTTGAGCCAACTTTTTTTACATTTTCATACAAATTTCGAAGCTACAATTAACTTCATTTAGACCATGAATAGCAACCTAATGGGGCTGTAACAATTTCCACAAATAAAGCTACACTATTTGTTTCACATTCACTAAGGATGACTATTACTCTAAATGTTCAATTAGTTCTTCATTTATTTTAAAATTAAATTCATTATAAAAATAATGTTAGAATATTATCCAATAAATTTTCTTTGCTCACCTTCAAAAATTCTACATTACCGTTCTCTTGAGAAATTCTACATTTGGTTTTTGTTCCTCATCTTATCATCCTGCAATAATTCTTTGAAATCCATTTATCTTACTAATTTTAAAAAAAAGGGATTAGTGTCTATTTAAATCAAATAATTAGTAATAACCTATTGAATAAGTTTGTGATAGAAGGTGTTACATTGTTTCAGTCTACCTGCCATTGAACAAAATAATGCCAATAATTTACTTAATCCTATTGAAATTTAAATTTTGCAACTCTCTTTATAGAAGGATAAAGTTTACAATTGCCCTTTATCCATCTTATAGAGATGATGCAAAGTTAAATTATGCACTACCATAGTCTGTTTTCGCAGTTATAATGAAATACCTCAGACTGGGTAATTTAGGATAAACAGTTCACAGTTCTGGAGGCTGGGAAGGTGCTAATATCCAGCAAAGGACCTCTGACTGCGTCATCTCGTGACAGAAGGCAAGGGGCGAGATACAGCAAGAGGGGGCCGAATTCACCTTTTATATTGACACCAATCCCACCCATGAGGGTGGAACTCTCATAGCCTCATCACTTCTTAAAGTTTCCACCTGTTAATACTGATATAGTGGCAATTAAATTTCAACACGCATTTTGGAGGGACAAACATTCAAATCATAGCACGTGCCTTTCAAGCGTTTTGAGGTATTCAGAAAATGGCAAGATACTAGAAGTATTTTAATGTGTTCCTAAAACATTAAACCTAAAACAGACTTATATCTACCTTCAGCTCTAAAAATCTGGGCCTTCAAGATTTTTCCAAGTGTTAAGCAGGTGGACCCCAAAAGTGAGGCACAAACTTCACATTATCCAAACACATGACAACGTTTAATATCACAGTATTTAAATGCTACTCTAATGAATGTGTGAAGATTTTCTAATCTGGTAATTCACCGAACTTTTAGGAACCATGACTTTTCCTAAAGCCATGACCTGGTTTTCTTCTGAACTACATGCTATTCTGTATATAATGCTCCACATGTTTACAATTGCTCCAAGTGATCAATTCATTAATTCTCAAACAAATGACATCAATCTTTTTTTCACATGTAAAGAAACAAAGGCAGAAAGAGAAAGAATAGGCCATTTCCCTTTAATCTGCAATCGCTCACCAGAAAGATTTAGTTTGCATAAACACATTCAAGAAAATAAGCGAAAATAAATTTTAAAAGAAGTACATAGGAAATGACAACGTAAGGAAAATGGGAAAGGGAAGAGAGAACCAGGAGTTAGGCTAGAATGCTGTCCTATCTTGTGCATTGCCAACTCTGGAGAGATCCAATAATCAGTCCAAGGTACCACACAGGCTAGACCTGAACTCCTGGGCTCAAGCTATCCTCCTGCCTAAGCCTCCAAGTAACTAGGACTACAGTCGCACACAGTCAGAACTAGCTTGTTGGACTTATTTTTGTCAAAGAATAGTATCATAATCTTTGTGCCTCTCTTGATTGAGAAGAAATTCTCCCAGAGCAGAACTGTCCTATAGAACTTTCTGCAATGATACAATCTTTTCTATCAGCACCATTTAATATGGTAGCCACTGGCCACACGTGGCTGTTGAGCAGTTGAAATGTGTTTAGTGCAAGAGAAAGACTTAATTTTTAATTTGATTTTAATTACTTAAGTAGTCAAATGTGGCTACTGGTTACCATATTTCATAGTGCAGTTCTGATACATATGTACAGCAAATCACAGCAAATCAATTTCTCTCACAGTAGTATCTCTCTCAGTTACTCAGTTTCCTAACTTTGACAGAACTATTTATCATATGATGTATATTTTCACCTGAATACTTCCATATGAGTCTCTATTTTATTCCAGAGAATTTTTCCGATTACAGACTTAGTGTACTTTTGGCCAGTGAGTTGTGTGGGTTATTGCTAAGCATGGCATTGGACGTGCTCGGATGCTTGTCTTCATTCATTCCTGAAAGCAGTCTTATTCTCTAAAACTATCCATCATTCTTACTCTTCTCTCTCATCCCAGCTGACATGCCACTTTCAAATAGGTATATTTTCTCTGGTTTCCTGCTTTTCTGATATAGCTGTGGATACATGGAGAGTGTAATAAACGGGTTGTCCAGAAAGGAGCTTCTGTAGTCACTGGGCAGTAGATATCAGCATCAGCAATAGATCTATTTAATAAAATAAGTAAATATATATCCCCACTATATGGAAGAGTATAATACATAAAAGCATGTAATATAACAAATTTTATGCACCAATAATTTTTTACAGTATTCAGAAAAGTTTCTACATAGTAACTATAAACTACATATTAAAAATTGTTTTCTGGTCATTGCTATAATGTACACACACATTCCAATTGACACACAGAAAAAAGAAGTTACTTTCTTTAAACTGCAAGGGAAATATCAAAATAACATCACGAAACATTTCATAATATCCTAGAGATAGTATCTCTTACATTTCAAAACTGCTTTAACTCATATGGGGCTCCAGTTCATCAGAAACAGGACTTGATACAAAAAGGCATGGCATGAATGATAATTACTGCTTTGGGTACAAATCTGCACACATTACATGCAAGATCCAATATAAGTCAACTTCTCACAGCAATCAATTTTTCAAAAGGAAGGGTACAACCAATGTTTATTTTATGTTAAGGAGAGGAAATCAAACAAAAGGGGAAAAAGTGAGATGAAAATTCTTATGCTCCAGTTGAGTTTTTCCTTGGGAGCACTGAACAGATTTTAGGAAATTTAGCCTAATTTTGCTATGGCAACAGTTATAACACTTGAGACCACAGTCCAGGAGAAGCGCAGCATTTATTCTCTTATTGCAGCACTTTGATCCTTTCCGAGTCTAACTTAAAAGCCATAGTTTTTAATGCAAATGAGAATACATACATTGAGATTCGGGAATAATTAGAATATTTATATTTGTAATAAATCCAATGGAAGCTCTTTTGTGACATGAAGCTTACTCAGTGGTTAGGGGGTTAATGAATGAAATGGATCACTGGACTGAAAATAAAAATCACTATTTAAAACGAAGGCGACACCAGGAGAATTAGGCACTACATAATACTGTAACCACGGAGAATTCTCAACAGTAAAATAAAGCCCTGTAGTCCCAGCATTTTCATTACTTTTCCAGTAGTGCTGGATGCAGTGTGAATTTCAATGAGGTGGGAAACAGTGGCTGCTCCCTTTAAAGAACATATACCACACAGAGGAAAGAACATATACCATATACCACAGAGAGGAGAAGCACTCCTTCAATTCACACAGTGATGAACATATTCCACAGAGAGGAGAAGCACTCCTTCAATCCACACTGTGATGAACATATACCACACAGAGGAGAAGCGCTCCTCAATTCACACTGTGATGAACATATACCACACAGAGGAGAAGCACTCCTTCAATTCACACAGTGATGAACATATTCCACACAGAGGAGAAGCACTCCTTCAATCCACACTGTGATGAACATATACCACACAGAGGAGAAGCACTCCTTCAATTCACACAGTGATGAACATATTCCACACAGAGGAGAAGCACTCCTTCAATCCACACTGTGATGAATATATACCACACAGAGAAGAAGCGCTCCTTCAATTCACACTGTGATGAACATATACCACACAGGGGAGAAGCGCTCCTCAATTCACACTGTGATGAACATATACCACACAGAGGAGAAGCACTCCTCAATTCACACTGTGATGAACATATACCACACAGAGGAGAAGCACTCCTCAATTCACACTGTGATGAACATATACCACGCAGAGGAGAAGCGCTCCTTCAATTCACACTGTGATGAACATATACCACACAGGGGAGAAGCACTCCTTCAATTCACACTGTGATGAACATATACCACACAGAGGAGAAGCACTCCTTCAATCCACACTGTGATGAACATATTCCACACAGAGGAGAAACGCTCCTTCAATTCACACTGTGATGAACATATACCACACAGAGGAGAAGCACTCCTTCAATTCACACTGTGATGAACATATACCACACAGAGGAGAAGCACTCCTTCAATCCACACTGTGATGAATATATACCACACAGAGGAGAAGCGCTCCTCAATTCACACTGTGATGAACATATACCACACAGAGGAGAAGCGCTCCCCAATTCACACTGTGATGAACATATACCACACAGAGGAGAAGCACTCCCCAATTCACACTGTGATGAACATATACCACACAGAGGAGAAGCACTCCTTCAATCCACACTGTGATGAACATATACCACACAGAGGAGAAGCACTCCTCAATTCACACTGTGATGAACATATACCACACAGAGGAGAAGCACTCCTTCAATCCACACAGTGATGAACATATACCACACAGAGGAGAAGCACTCCTCAATTCACACTGTGATGAACATATACCACACAGAGGAGAAGCACTCCTCAATTCACACTGTGATGAACATATACCACACAGAGGAGAAGCACTCCTTCAATTCACACTGTGATGAACATATACCACACAGAGGAGAAGCACTCCTCAATTCACACTGTGATGAACATATACCACGCAGAGGAGAAACGCTCCTTCAATTCACACTGTGATGAACATATACCACACAGAGGAGAAGCACTCCTTCAATCCACACAGTGATGAACATATACCACACAGAGGAGAAGCACTCCTCAATTCACACTGTGATGAACATATACCACGCAGAGGAGAAACGCTCCTTCAATTCACACTGTGATGAACATATACCACACAGAGGAGAAGCACTCCTTCAATTCACACTGTGATGAACATATACCACACAGAGGAGAAGCACTCCTTCAATCCACACTGTGATGAACATATACCACACAGAGGAGAAGCACTCCTTCAATTCACACTGTGATGAACATATACCACACAGAGGAGAAGCACTCCTTCAATCCACACTGTGATGAATATATACCACACAGAGGAGAAGCACTCCTCAATTCACACTGTGATGAACATATACCACACAGAGGAGAAGCGCTCCTTCAATTCACACTGTGATGAACATATACCACACAGAGGAGAAGCACTCCTCAATTCACACTGTGATGAACATACACCAGAGGAGAAGTGCTCCTTCCACTCACACTGTGATGAACATGTACCACATGGAGGAGAAGCACTCCTTCAGTTCATACTGTGATGAACATATACCACACAGAGGAGAAGCACTTCTTCCATTCACACTGTGATGAACATATACCATGCAGAGAAGTACTCCTTCCGTTAACACCATGATGACTATATACTGTACAGAGAAGCACTCCTTCAGTTCACACTGTGATGAATATACACCGTATAGAGGAGAAGCACTCCTTCAATTCACACTGTGATGAATATATACCGTATAGGGGAGAAGCACTCCTTCAATTCACACTGTGATGGCTATTGGCCTATCCATGCCACTATGTAGTTTACATTTTAGTATCTTAAAATATTTCATATAATAGAATATTGCATTTAACTTGCAAGAAAGGCTAAACACCTAGCATAACAAACCATGGTGCACTGTAAATGTTAATTTAAAAATAATATATACAAATCAGTTACAGCTTAGACAAGAAACCTCTTTGACTACACAATTTGGAACTAGAATTATATATTATATTTAAATGTATCTCTTTAAACCAATTCAAAAGCAACATAGAGAGACTAAAACCTGTACTGAAGAAGGAAAATCAGGTCATTACCCATGAGATTGCTTCAGTTCAAAAAGAGAAAGCAGGAGTAGGTGTGAAAATGCACAGATTACTGAAAAGTGGAATGTGGCGTTAAATCAAATCTTACAACATGGAATCACGTTTTACTTTGCATTAGGTTCCTATGCTCCTAGTATCAAAACTAGGAGGTCCTTTGAGCTACTAACTTAGTAAAAACTAAAAGTCAAACATTTCACTAATAGACCTGCCTCTAAGTATAAGGTTGAGGCAGAAGATATACAATCATAGAAGAAAAGACAGGAGTTAATACCGCTTTCCCCACTGTAACTGGAAAGTGTCATAAATCCTACATTAGTTTCTCACCTAACCTCCCTATATTTAGTCATTCCAGTGCCCCAAAATTGAAGAATTAGTCTCAATTTCTACTGGAATATAAATAACACATCAGCTTCTAGCCAGATAATTACGTCCTTCCTGAATATGTTGCAAAAGTGTTATTCATTGTGGAGAATGCAGAATTATAAAATACAACCCGACTCTCAAATTACTTATAATCTGGTTAGGAATACCTAACTATAAAAATAAACACAGTTGTGGGTCTCAGCTGGGCAACAGTCAGGCTCTGCAGGATGTCTAGATAGACAGGTAGGTAGACAGACAAAAAGACATGTATGGTGAGCCACCTCCAGCTCACAGGCAGTATCAGACTCACAGTAGTACCAACTCAAAACAGACCTTCCCCTCCGCAGCATTCCGCATGCCCCACATTATGCTAGAACCTCTATTTGAATTTTTCTTCTAGAGCAAATTCCTAGCCTCTCCTCTAGGAAGGGGAGGGCTGGGGAAAGAGCCCTTGGGGTCTTTTCAAGGGGTTCACTGACCCTACAAGCTCTAAGCTCTCTCTACAGCTGTGCTGTCCAATATGGAAATCATGAGCCACTGAGTGGCTACTGGGCACTTGAAATATGGCTAGTGCAACTGAGAAACTGAATTTTTTATTTAATTTAATGAACTTAAACAGCCACATATGGCTAATGACTACAATACTAGAAACAAGATATAAAACATTTCCATCATCACAGAAAGCACTACTCTACAGAGTAAAGACTTATTATAATTGGATATATACATTCCTGAAAAATGTGGTATATAAAATATTATAACTTGAGGGCTCATAAGGCAGAACACTCAAACTCTATACAGTATTATAACCAAATCCCTAAAAAGTAAGAATCCCAACTTTTAAAACTAGCGTGATTTTTAAAAGACATTTAATTCTTAATAAAGAAATATTATGATAAATAAGTATACATTTAATTATTTATTTATGGATAAATGAATGAATGAAATGAATGACAGGGTCTCACAATGTTGCCGAGGCTGGCATGCCGTGGCGCAATAATAGCTCACTGCAGCCTCAACCTCCTGGGCTCAGGCAATCCTCCCGCCTCAGCCTCCCAGTAGCTGGGATTATAGACACATCCCACCACACCTGGCTAACTTTTTTTATTTAATTAATTAATTTATTTATTTTTTGAGATGGAGTCTCACTCTGTCGCCCAGGCTGGAGTGCAGTGGTGCGATCTCGGCTCACTGCAAGCTCTGCCTCCTGGGTTCACGCCATTCTCCTGCCTCAGCCTCCTGAGCAGCTGGGACTACAGAGGCCTGCCACCACGCCTGGTTAATTTTTTGTATTTTTAGTAGAGACAGGGTTTCACTGTGTTAGCCAGGATGGTCTCGATCTCCTGACCTCGTGATCCACCCACCTCGGCCTCCCAAAGTTTTTTTATTTTTCTGCAGAGGCGGCATCTCCCTATGTTGCCCAGGCTTGTCTCAAACTCTGGGGCTAAAGTGATCTACCCACCTCAGCCTCCCAAAGTGCTGGGACTACAGGTGTGAGCCACCATGCCCAGCCAACCATACATTTAAAGGTTAAAGTAGCTTGAAAGAAGGCTGTAAGAAAGGTATCTAAATTCTGAAAATGCACAAAGACTGGGAATACTATGGCCAAACCAAGCGAGAGACAAGAGGTCTCGGGCTCACTGTTTCTCCATTCCTCCACCTTGCTGGGCTGTGCTGGCGTTTACTGCACTTTGGGTTTAGCTGCTACCACTTGATGAAGAAAACCATTAATACATCAAGAAAAACCACTTAATAAACCAAAGAGACGACCACATTAACTCAATAGCATCCCCCCACTTGTCAATTCTATGTGAATTAATTCTTGTCATAGAAACATGAGTAGGCGCAGAAAGGACTTCATTTGGCAGACAGGTTCTCTGTGTGTGTTCCCTCATACTCCCCGATATAACTGGTCGCAGCTCCATTCCCATCTCAGTCTATCAAAAAAACTATGCCTGCTGCTCAAGGCTTTTCTCAACTGATACCTTCCCTTTATTAAGCCTTTCCTGACCATCGCCTCCAACCAAGATATGAGGAACACAGACTTTTTTCTCCTAAAGATATTTTTACTCACACTTCACATTAAATTTAACACATACTTATGGTTGTTGTTCTATTACTGTTATTACTAGAGGTAGCTTAGGAGGGCTGCTGGAAATTCAAGGGGGAAAGCTAAAACTTCCCAGGGCTTTGTAACATCTCTTCAGACTGGATTTTAGTCCTAATTCTGCCACCAGCTTCCTGGTTAATCTCAGTAAGTCACTCCCTCCCCGTTTCTGGGCTTTAAACAAACTCATTTTTCAAAATATCTTTATTATTGTAACTTTTGAATGACATTTTAAAAGTCCCTGTAAACCTCTAGTATGCACAGAACTTTAAAAAGCTGAAGTGAGAATAGCCTTCTAGACTTTTTGCCACATGAATATATACAAACATAAAAGCATTTTACACTGAATTAGACCATGCCATCCGTATCGTACTGTGACTTAGTTTACTGTATTCACTTAAAACTTGATTTCAGTACACAAAGAAATCTCCTGCAGTTGTTTTACCTGCTGCATTATTAGAAAAAAATATAATTTAACAATCCCCCATTGATTAAATTACCCTTTAAATGTTTAAGCTTTTCTTAAAACTAGGAAAGTAATACATGCATTTTTTTAAGTATTGAAAATTTTCCTTTCCCTAATACACTCTATCTTGGGTGATAAAATTTTCTAAAGAGTATCTTCTGTTTTTTCATTTTTCTCATAGATACCACTGGGGTTTCTTTCTCTTTTTTTAAGACAAGGTCTGGCTCTGTTGACCAGGATGAAGTGCAGTGGCACGATCTCGGCTCACTGCAGCCTCAACCTCCCGGGCTCAAGCAATCCTCACACCTCAGCCTCCTGAGTAGTTGTTTTTTGTTGATGTTCTTGAGATGGGTATCATTGTGTTACCCAGGCTGCACTCGAACTCCTGAGCTCAAGCAATCTGCCCGCCTGAGCTTCCGAAAGTGCTGTGATTACAGGAGTGTGCCACCACACCTGGCCAGGTTTCAACGATGCATTCCTATATTTACTTCTTGACTTTTGTTACAGCATTATTTTACACTGTCAGTGATTATTTTTAATTCATTAAATTCTATTCCATAAATAGATCCCAGTCCTCTGTGCTTTCTCAGTTGATTTTTGGAGACAGATAGTCAACAGGCAGCATTCACAATATTATAATTATATATCTATTACTCACTGTAGAACTAAGTATTGTGGAACAGCTCCACAGGGGAGGAAATGCAATCTTATGCCATTCAACTTCTCCTGTTTGAAACAAAATATCCCAAGAGTCAAGCAGATTTCATTTTCGTTTTTTTGCTTTTCTTTACTTTACCTGCAATTCTTTCTTACATCTCAGATTATCTTCTTTCTTGGATTCTTCTACCATTTCATTGCAGAAACTCCTTACATATATTATTTCATATAAGAAGCCTAGATAATTAGATAAAAAATAGCTTATATCCATGCATATTTGAGTATCTTTCTATCACTGCCTTCTTACTTAACAAATAGTTTTGGCTACATGAGATTTTTGGTTCAAAGTTATTTTCTTTGTTTGGTTTTTTTTTTTTTTTTTGAGGGAAATTACTTTTTACTTCAGTGCAATTTACTGGAGAGACGAACTGTGCAAGTAGAGATGCCTGATGAGCGTCACACAACGTTTTCGGTGGATAGTCACGACACTTGAGCCCACCACGAAAGCAACGGGAGGCAGCTGCAATATTCCAGCAGGACAGTGTGTACTACAGTGAGTTTTAAGCAGTTATGATTTTTTAAATTATACTTTAAGTTCTAAGGTACATGTGCACAACGTGCAGGTTTGTTACATATGTATACATGTGCCATGTTGGTGTGCTGCACCCATTAACTCATCATTTACATTAGGTATATGTCCTAATGCTATCCCTCCCCTCTACCCCCACCCCATGACAGGCCCTGGTGTGTGATGTTCCCCACCCTGTGTCCAAGTGTTCTCATTGTTCAATTCCCACCTATGAGTGAGAACATGTGGTGTTTGATTTTCTGTCCTTGCGGTAGTTTGCTAAGAATGATGGTTTCCAGCTTCATCCATGTCCCTACAAAGGACATGAACTCATCATTTTTTATGGCTGCATAGTATTCCATGGCGTATATGTGCCACATTTTCTTAATCCAGTCTATGGACACTTGGGTTGATTCCAAGTCTTTGCTATTGTGAATACTGCCGCAATAAACATACGTGTGCATGTGTCTTTATAGCAGCATGATTTATACTCCTTTGGGTATATACCCAGTAATGGGATGGCTGGGTCAAATAGTATTTCTAGTTCTAGATCCTTGAGGAATAGTCACACTGTCTTCCACAATGGTTGAACTAGTTTACAGTCCCACCAACAGTGTAAAAGTGTTCGTATTTCTCCACATCTTCTCCAGCACCTGTTGTTTCCTGACTTTTTAATGATCGCCATTCTAACTGGTGTGAGATGGTATCTCATTGTGGTTTTGATTTGCATTTCTCTGATGGCCAGTGATGATGAGCACTTTTTATGTGTCTGTTGGCTGCATAAATGTCTTCTTTTGAGAAGCGTCTGTTCATATCCTTTGCCAACTTTTTGATGAGGTTGTTTGATTTTTTTTTGTAAATTTGTTTAAGTTCTTTATAGTTTCTGGATATCAGCCCTTTGTCAGATGAGTAGATTGTAAAAATTTTCTCCCATTCTGTAGGTTGCCTGTTCACTCTGATAGTAGGTTCTTTTGCTATGCAGAAGCTCTTTAGTTTAATTCGAACCCATTTGTCTACTTTGGCTTTTGTTTCCATTGCTTTTGCTGTTTTAGTCATGAAGTCCTTGCCCCTCCCTAGGTCCTGAATGGTATTGCCTAGGTTTTCTTCTAGGGTTTTTGTGGTTTTAGGTCTAACATTTAAGTCTTTAATCCATCTTGAATTAATTTTTGTATAAGGTGTAAGGAAAGGATCCAGTTTTAGCTTTCTACATGTGGCTAGTCACTTTTGCCAGCAACATTTATTAAATAGGGAATCTTTCCCCCATTTCTTGTTTTTGTCAGGTGTGTCAAAGATCAGATGGTTGTAGATGTGTGGTATTCTTTCTGAGGGCTCTGTTCTGTTCCATTGATCTATATCTCTGTTTTGGTACCAGGACCATGCTGTTTTGGTTACTGTAGCCTTGTAGTATAGTTTGAAGTCAGGTAGCATGATGCCTCCAGCTTTGTTCTTTTGGCTTAGGATTGTCTTGGCAATAAGGGCTCTTTTTTGGTTCCATATGAACTTTAAAGTAGTTTTTTCCAATTCTGTGAAGAAAGTCATTGGTAGCTTGATGGCAATAGCATTGAATCTACAAATTACCTTGGGCTGTATGGCCATTTTCATGATATTGATTCTTCCTATCCATGAGCATGGAATGTTCTTCCACTTGTTTGTGTCCTCTTTTATTTCATTGAGCAGTGGTTTGTGGTTCGCCTTGAACAGGTCCTTCACATTCCTTGTAAGTTGGATTCCTAGGTATTTTATTCTCTTTGAAGCAATTTTGAATGGGAGATCACTCATGATTTGGCTCTCTGTTTGTCTGTTATTGGAGTATAAGAATGCTTGTGATTTTTGCACATCGATTTTGTATCCTGAGACTTTGCTGAAGTTGCTTATGAGCTTAAGGAGATTTTGGACTGAGACAATGGGGTTTTCTAAATATACACTCATGTCATCTGCTAACAGGGACAATTTGACTTCCTCTTTTCCTAACTGAATACCCTTTCTTTCTTTCTCCTGCCTGATTGCCCTGGCCAGAATTTCCAACACTATGTTGAACAGGAGTGGTGAGAGAGGGCATCCCTGTCTTGTGCCAGTTTTCAAAGGGAATGCTTCCAGTTTTTGCCCATTCAGTATGATACTGGCTGTGGGTTTGTCATAAACAGTTCTTATTATTTAGAGATACGTCACATCAATGCCTAGTTTATTGAGAATTTTTAGCATGAAGGGCTGATGAATTTTGTCGAAGGCCTTTTCTGCATCTATTGAGATAATCATATGGCTTTTGCCTTTGGTTCTGTTTATATGATGGATTATGTTTATTGATTTGCGTATGTTGAACCAGCCTTGCATCCCAGGGATGAAGCCAACTTGATCGTAGTGGATAAGCTTTTTGATGTGCTGCTGGATTCGGTTTGCCAGTATTTTATTGAGGATTTCTGCATCAATATTCATCATGGATATTGGTCTAAAATTATCTTTTTTTTGTTGTGTCTCTGCCAGGCTTTGGTATCAGGATGATGATGGCCTCATAAAATGAGTTAGGGAGGATTCCCTCTTTTTCTATTGATTGGAATAGTTTCAGAAGGAATGGTAACAGCTCCTCTTTGTACCTCTGGTAGAATTCAGCTGTGAATCCATCTGGTCCTGAACTTTTTTGGTTGGTAAGCTATTAATTATTGCCTCAATTTCAGAGCCTGTTATTGGTCTATTCAGAGATTCAACTTCTTCCTGGTTTAGTCTTGGGAGAGTGTATCTGTCGAGGAATTTATCCATTTTTTCTAGATTTTCTAGTTTATTTGCATAGAGGTGTTTATAGTATTCTCTGATGGTAGTTTGCATTTCTGTGGGGTCAGTGGTGATACCCCCTTTATCATTTTTTATTGCATCTATTTGATTCTTCTCTCTATTCTTCATTAGTCTTGCTAGCGGTCTATCAATTTTGTTGATCTTTCCAAAAAACCGGCTCCTGGATTCATTGATTTTTGAAGGGTTTTTTTTGTGTCTCTATTTCCTTCAGTTCTTCTCTGATCTTAGTTATTTCTTGCCTTCTGCTAGCTTTTGAATGTGTTTGCTCTTGCTTCTCTAGTTCTTTTAATTGTGATGTTAGGGTGTCAATTTTAGATCTTTCCTGCTTTCTCTTGTGGGCACTTAATGCTCTAAATTTCCCTCTACACACTGCTTTAAATGTGTCCCAGAGATT
Source organism: Homo sapiens (assembly GCF_000001405.40). Classification (NCBI taxonomy): domain Eukaryota; kingdom Metazoa; phylum Chordata; class Mammalia; order Primates; family Hominidae; genus Homo; species Homo sapiens. The sequence goes on from NC_000001.11 coordinate 246,242,278, forward strand.
CTGGCATGTTGTGTCTTCGTTCTCATCAGTTTCAAAGAACATCTTTATTTCTGCCTTCATTTCGTTATGTACCCAGTAGTCATTCAGGAACAGGTTGTTCAGTTTCCATGTAGTTGAGCGGTTTTGAGTGAGTTTCTTAATCCTGAGTTCTAATTTGATTGCACTATGGTCTGAGAGACAGTTTGTTATAATTTATGTTCTTTTATATTTGCTGAGGAGTGCTTTACTGAGACCATCGATGCTAGGAAGAAACTGCATCAACTAATGAGCAAAATAACCAGCTAACATCATAATGACAGGATCAAATTCACACATAACAATATTAACCTTAAATGTAAATGGGCTAAATGCTCCAATTAAAAGACACAGACTGGCAAATTGGATAAAGAGTCAAGACCCATCAGTGTGCTGTATTTAGGAGACCTATCTCATGTACAGAGAGACATACATAGGCTCAAAATAAAGATATGGAGGAAGATCTACCAAGCAAATGGAAAACAAAAAAAAAGCAGGGGTTGCAATCCTAGTCTCTGATAAAACAGACTTTAAAGCAACAAAGATCAAAAGAGACAAAGAAGGCCATTACATAATGGTAAAGGGATCAGTTCAACAAGAAGAGCTAACTATCCTAAATATATATATGCACCCAATACAGAAGCACCCAGATTAATAAAGTAAGTCCTTAGAGACCTACAAAGAGACTTAGACTCCCACACAATAATAATGGGAGACATTAACGCCCCACTGTCAACATTAGACAGATCAATGAGACAGAAAGTTAACAAACATATCCAGGACTTGAACTCAGCTCTGCACCAAGTGGACCTAATAGACATCTACAGAACTCTGCACCCCAAATCAACAGAATATACATTCTTCTCAGCACCACATCGCACTTATTCAAAGTTATTTATCTTTCAGAACTTTGAAAGTACTGTTCCGTGATCTTCTAGAATTAAATGCTGCATATGAGAAATGTGATTTTAGTCCAGTTCCTGCATGTTTTGTCACTTATTTTTTCCCTCTAGGGGAATATGTTGGTATATATATATTTTCTATGGAGTTCTAAAATTTTACTAGGAATAATTGAGTTTTTGACTTTTTTAAATCATGTGATTCAACACATAGTGAGCCCTTTCTATCTGAAGAATTATAAGGCTTTTTTCAGCTTTGTGAATAATGTTTTTATCATTTCATTGACTATTTCCACCCCTCTATCTTAACTATCACCTGCCTCTGGAAATCCTATTAGAAAGACGTTGGTCTTCACAGATCTTAACCCCCAAGTTTCTAATTTCCCAAATTATCCATTAATCAGTTATACTGTACATTATATATATGAATATTCTGGGAGGTTTCCTGAACTTTCCTTTCAAAAATCAGTCTTTGGCTAAATCTATTCTATTTGTTGGCCCATATATCAAATGTTTTGTTATGAAATCATTCTAATTCTTGGAAAGAGTTTTAACTATTTCAAGATTATTTTGAATCTTACTTTGAAAGTTTGGTGTAGAAAGAATTCTTACTTGATGGACTAAGAACACAAGAGATTGAGAGTTAAGATTAGAAAGAAATAACATTCTACACGTTTTGTAAAAGGTGGGGATTTTTTCCTTATTTTTAAAAAATGAATAAAAGCCAACCAATCTTTGTTGGGCATGGTGGCAAATGTCTATAGTCCCAGCTACTTGGGAGACATATATGTGTATATACATATATATACACGTATATATGTACATATATGTGTATATATATATTTTAACATGGGACTCATATATATATATGAGTTAAAAAAACATTTTATTTCATTAATATCTCTTGTACATGGGAAACTGTCACAAAGCAGTTTCTTCTCTTTTTACTATACTCTAAACATAGACTATATATAAAAGAGGTTAGCTATAGTTCCTGAGTCAGCTACTCATCACTCATTTCCCACACCTAAAAGAGGCCAAGGACACTTAAATGTAAATTCATTGTACTTTTCACCTTTTTGAGTGACCCCATTTTATAGGTATCTTGGGGCTAGCTATTTGCACATCAGACTTTTCCATTCTGAAATGCTGACTCAATTCACTAGAGAGAAGGATTCTACTTGTGAGTGTGGAAAAAAAAAATCCTGACTTTCTAGATCATTTTCCCTATTCACTTTGGATAATACCACTTTATAAATAGGATTTGATGCATGCAAAGCAGCAATCTGAAAGGACCGGCAGTATATACTATAAGCACTTATTATAGTATTTGTAAATGCCTTATTAATGGCAAAATAGCTTTGAAACCATCCATGATATGTACCACAGCTAACTCAATTTGACAGTGAAAGATGCTATGTCAGTCTGTTATGGCAGATATAAAACATGTACCATATGAGTAGATCCTTGGCATATGTTATAAAAATTACTTTTGCTTTATATTTTCTAGTTGTGTAAAAAGGGACAAGAAGCACTCCTAACACTGTTTTCATTGGACTCTTCCACACTGCCTTCTGTTGCCTACTATAAACAGTTAAATATATCTTCTTTTACTATCTGGCTACAGCAGTTTTCTGTATATAAAAATTTTTCCACTCTACTATGAATTGGGTTTATATGGACTCCATCTAAACATTATTCATGAACTATTCTGAATACATACCAAATGATACCCCAGTGATCTTCAAAACGCTGAAGTTTCAATTTTCTTTAATTCTGCTATCAGGCCAGGCAAAGCATTCATCTCAGTGAGGCAGCCTGCCTCTTAGGCATCATTAATGTTTTAGATTTTCATAAATTCCACTACGGCTAAATAGACCAAGAACCTGAACTCCATAGAGTTCCTAAAAGAATTCAGCAGCTACTGCCTTTTTTTTTTTTTTTTTTTTTAGTTTTATTTCCAAGATGAAGTTTAAAAATAAGAATAAAAACTGGCAACAGGCCAGACATGGTGGCTGAGGCGAGCGGATCACTTGAGCCCAGGAGTTGCAGACCAGCCTGGACAACATGGCAAGACCCTGTCTCTAGTAAAAACACAAACATTAGCTAAGTGTGGTGGCACATGCCTGTAATCCCAGCTATTCAGGAGGCTGAGGCACGAGAATCTCTTGAACCTGGGAAGCAGAGGCTGCAGTCAGCCAAGATCGTGCCACTGTACTCTAGCCTGGGTGACAGAACGAGACTCTGTCTCCAAAAACAAACAAACAAAAAACAGAAATACTGGGAATAAAAGTATTTTTGAAACATGTAGATCCTCTTTTATTAAGAAAGAGGCAGACATCTCACACTTAGGAAAATCTCAACCCTTAAAGAGAGAAATGAAATAGAAATTTTACAAATCAAAACAAAAGTAAAAAAAAATCAAAAATAACAGATTTTTATCTAAGAAATTAAAATTTCAGATTTAACGTGGAAAATATCTGAAAAATGTTGTGATTATGAATAAGCCTTATGACATTTCTGCATCACTTCCTGACTTATAGACCTATTTCTCTAAATTGATATTCATTCTACACCAATGAACCACTAAAGGCCTTGTTCATCAAGATTCCAGAGGTGATTTCTATTCATATTTTGCTATGAATACACCAAACTGTATGAAAAGTTAGTTTTTTTCCATTTCTGTAAATATAAGTTTAATAAAATACAACCACAGATAACACACCAGGCCAATGTCTCAGTCAATTACCAACTTAGCCATGTTTTCCTATCCAAAAAATTCATTTGTTTTTGGTGACAGTGGTGATGAAATCATTTATTTACTTATTTTTCATTTGGTTTTCATGAAATACTTGTTCCAGTTTGTTCCATGTAGGTTTTGAGAAAGATTACAGTATTTTGTTGTTCTAATAAACTGAGACATTCAGTTCTATCAGACAACGATCTTACTTTTATTCTAGCTGCCAGAAAAGTCACAGCTAAAGTTGACATTCAATTATGGTGGCTTTCTTTAGTTAAAAAAATTAATAAAACGTTCTTCTCTTCCCCTTTACTACCTAACTTTTGCCTTTGTTCTTACGGTATGATCCTTGATCTTACTGTATCTGTAGTTTTATTTTAAGTAAGAAGTGAGGACTCTGGACATTGCTCTAGTTGTTCAAATGAGATTCTATGTGGATTGTAAAAATATATTTTTCTACTGGAAAGTAAGTCTATTTGAGTAGCTAGGGCTCCTGTTGTAATAGAAAGGGTACCAATCCCAAGTAATATGATTTCTAAAATGAAGTCATTATCATAAGTGGAGTATATTATTTCAAGTGAGTAAAACTTTTGAAGAGTGAATTGTTCATATTCTGGGTTATGTATGCATTTGTTACGGTCAAGGAAGCTTGAAGCTTCAAATTCATAAATAAATTACATCAAATGCAATAAGAATACCACCTACTGGACACTTTATAATATGCATTAATAGTATATTTATGACTTTATTTAATTTCTAAAATGGCCCTATGAAGTTATTTTTAGAATTTTCATTTTACCTATGTGGAAACTGAGCCACATAGAAGATGCCCAAATAACAGTATTTCTGCAGAAATCAAAACCCAATTTGCCTGACTCTAACATTTACACTATATATATTTTATACATATATACTATATATATATGTAACACATATATTACACTGTTTAATATAATTACAGTCTCACATAGGGATGAATTCGATTATTCAGATAATTAAAATGTTTTTTAAAAGAAAATAATATTCAGCATATTTCTTCGTTAGTTATATGTTAAAATACGAAGATACACATCAAACTACTAAATCAACTAAGACTAAATGCTCTTTTGTATATAACTCCCTTATTAGACCTGAATGTTACAGAATTGTAAACTTAATTTGGCAGCTGATCTGAATCCAGGTCGCTACTCTGTAGTCAGCTGTGTTGTATGACTCTGCACTGAGACCCAGAGGAACCACAATGAAAAATTAGCTGCTCAGTATAACGAATTGCCAGATGCTGGACTCAAGTAGGTAATGACATTTGAAAGCATGTGTGCAAGTACAGAAGAAAATTCTGAGGTCCCAGATCTCAAATTTTATGTGTTATAAGCAAAATGCTAAAATCTCAAGTTCCATTTTTAAAAATTAATTAAATAATTATTTATAACGTGTGTCTAGGCAACCACACATTCAACAGACTACCAGGACAGATTTTGCCTCTAGCACTGTGGTTTAAGAAAGAGAAGGATAACTCTCTCTCTCTCTCTCTCTCTATATATATATATATATATATTTTTTAACATGGGACTCATATATATATATATACACACGAGTTAAAAACATTTTATTTCATTAATATCTCTTGTGCGTGGGAAACTGTCACAAAGCAGTTTCTTCTCTTTTTTCCGCACTCTGAACATAGACTATATATAAGAGAGGCTAGCTGCGGCTCCTGAGTCAGCTACTCATCACTCATTTCCCACACCTAAAAGAGGCCTTTTTGTTTGGCAAAATGCTTCCCAAAGTAAATAGAAACGACAGTTAACACTTTTTATTTTCTAGCTAAGAGTCACCTATTGCCTTCAAAAAAATAAATTCTTCTAGTAGATTACAGAATTTGCTTTGAAAAATTTTGGTAGACTTTTATCCTTAAAAAATCCAGGTAGCAAGAGAACCTGGATAAGTACTGCCTGGATTAGCGAGCGGTTATGAGCAAACGCTATCTGAGAAGTAAGTTTTCATGAGTGATGAGAACATACCCTTTCCTGCTTCGCTGTCCCTCACCATCAAAATCCCTCTCACCACCTTGCTGAAACCAACCGTTGCAGAGATTCATTCTATTGATGTAAGGTTGGGTCTCAACTGAAATAGTTAACAGGCAGAGAGCATATCTCTTTTGAAACTGTATTTGGAGTAAAAGGTTCGGATACTGAGCCACTGATAAGGTGTTTGGAGGAAATTGTTTCATAAAACTGAAAAGCAACCGTAAGAAAATAAGGTTGGAGCCAATATGACAAGAACTGATGATGTAACGATTCTGCCCAGAATGTTCTGACCATGTCATCAAATCATGCCCTCTAAGCAATACAAGACACACAAGAGAAGTCTTCACAAAACACACGCTGGGCTCTCACACACTCATTTTCGGATTTTGAAGGGATTTCACAAGATTTCAAATCTGCCCAGATCATCTCAAAATTGTTCATTTCTAAACTTGAAATGTCTCCCAACAGAGACTTTTTGGAAAGTAATTTGGGCAGGTCGTTTGTTCCCATTATCAATTACCGGTCAGTATGTAAGTAGCTCTCTTCCCATGTCAAAGCTGCCCCTGGCCTTCCTCTTGCTCATGCTCTAATTGTGTTATTAGTCAGGCTCCAAAGTCTGAGTGTAGCTCCATCTACCACACCCTCTGGGCCAGTTATGCAAAAGCTCTCTGACTTTCCTTTTTTTTTTTTTTTTTTTTTTTGAGATGGAGTCTCGCTCTGTCGCCCAGGCTGGAGTGCAGTGGTGCAATCTTGGCTCACTGCAAGCTCTGTCTCCCGGGTTCACGCCATTGTCCTGCCTCAGCCTCCCGAGTAGCTGGGACCACAGGCGCCCGCCACCATGCCCGGCTAATTTTTTTTTTTTTTTTTTTTTGTATTTTTACTAGAGATGGGGTTTCATCGTGTTAGCCAGGATGGTCTCAATCTCCTGACCTCGTGACCCGCGCGCCTCAGCCTCCCAAAGTGCTGGGATTACAGGCATGAGCCACCGTGCCCAGCCGCTCTCTGACTTCTTTTACCTAATTCACAGTATTTCTCTGAGGGTCAAATAAGATCAAGAACAAGATGCGAAAACTACAAAGTGCATTTTAAAATAGGTGATTACTGGGATTTTTTTTTAGTATTTGATTTTTTTATAGTATGATCATTGCTTTTTGTTTCTTCATTTGTTTTTGAGACACAGTCTCACTCTGTCACCCAGGCTGGAGCAAAGTGGTGCGATCTCTGGCTCATTGCCTCCCAGGTTTAAGTGATTCTCCCGCCTCAGCCTTCCAAGTAGCTGGGAGTACAGGCGCCTGCCACCACACCTGGCTAATTTTTGTATTTTTAGTAGAGACAGGGTTTCACCATGTTGGCCAGGCTGGTCTTGAACTCCTGACCTTAAGTGATCCGCCCACCTCAGCCTCCCAAAGTGCTGGGATTACAGGCATGAGCCACCGTACCTGGCCTGATTATTGATACTCCACACAAAACACAGAAAATACAACACAAATATGGAAACTATTAAACAATTATTTCAGGTTTTAATTCACAAAAATGCACCCAGTATGGATCCTAGTTTTTTGTTTTTTTTGTATTTTTTTTTGTAATTTCCTAAATGTACTGGGATAAAATATTTCTGAAAAAATAAGCTCTATAAAAATTTTCAATTAAGGTTATATTTGATCATCATAGTAGTACAGCCCAACAAAACAGTTTTACCTAAAGTAACATGAAAAATATAATTTCTGTTTCACCCTTAAAAAATGTGTGTTTGTATTTATGTACTTCCAAAACTTTTTCTTATCAACTAATAAGATCAGGTCACGTTAAGTCTATTGATCTCACCTTTCACTGTAATATCTGCTTTGGCAACTGTTCCTTAGATACAATGTTCTCCAAACTCAAAAGTTATTTCCCCACTGGATAGGTGATTTTGTACTGTTTATATTAAACTTTATCTCTTTTCTTCTAAGAGCAGCTCCCCCAGGTAGTCAAGTCTGTTCCATGTTAGCTTACTTTCAAATTAAGTCACCTTCTGGCATGACACAATTATAGAGCACATTAATAACTGCAGGCACCTGCAGAATAAATTCAAACGCATTCCTTTCCCTCCCCCTCTCTTGATATATACCTGCAAAACTGTCTAAAAATTCTATAAAATCTAAAACTCAAAAATGGTCTTCTCTATATTCCTGTGTTCCTCCTTACTGATACTAGGTTCTAATACTCTGTCTTCTAAAACCTGGCAACACTATCTAATCTATTCTCACCCTGTGATGACTGTGACTGCTGAAACCTCATTTTCATAGTCCAACATTCAAATCTTCAATTGTTGCTTGACAAACTCAGTTATCATGGAATAGCTACCTGAAGAAAACAGCTGAATTCAGTACACTATTTTCAGTGACTGCAAAACTATAATACACAATACAGATATTTTTCACATAAACTAGGTGTAAAAATACAATGTTCACACTTCATATGAGAATATTTTATTTCTAGAAATAAATCTTCACCAGTCCAAACACGTAAGTTTACAGAAAGTCAGTAAGAAATCATTATATTTATATAGCACCTTGACCACTACAAAAGCTGCTCACTGATAATATCAGAAATAATCAATAGGCTTATAACACTGCCAAAATGGTAGCAGAGTATCGTGTGTCTATTGAGTCTGAAATTAAATTGCAATTTAAGGTCCATCTCTTAAAGCTATATTCATGTATTTAGAACTCTATCAAACAAAACAAGAAAAAAATTACTTTGACGTACATCTTTTAAAGATGAATATGAAACTTTGGACAATAAATACTACTCTCCCGAATCAACTTTTAAAGTGCAACCATCTTTTAATGATAGTTAACTGCTTTAAGAAAGCAATAAACTAAAATGTAAACCTGAAAGCCCACTATCTTAAGCTCTTTTAAAAATTAAATACACCAGCAACATTTTGAGACTCAAAATTAATTTACTTCACTCAATCCTATGCATAAGTTTGGCAATTTGTTTCAGATGCTATTTTTTCTGTAATTTTTGTGGGTACATAGTAGGTGTATATATTTATGGGCTATATAAGATGTTTTGATACAGGCATGTAATGTGAAACAAGCACATCAACAAGAATGGGGTATCCATCCCCTAAAACATTTGTCCTTTGGGCTACATGTCATTTCCTAATGTAAAGAAAATGGACAGACAGAACCAACATTGATTTGACTGGGTGAAAAAGTCCATTTGAGTTGGGAGCAGGGGTTGTGTTCCTGGATTTGGGTTGTTAGGACAGTATAAAAAGGCTTCACAGGGGAACATTCTTTTCTGATAAAGGAAAGCAGCTGGGTTGGCTTCAAATAGCAGTGACTTTACTTGGAATATTCACAGGTAAGCTGCAAATATAAAACACCTTCCACAGAGTGTTATTTTGTAATCGGGGCTTATCTCAAGTGCAAGAACCTCCAGCCTACAGCTTTAGTAGGTGCCTCAGACACTGTGCCCGGCTTTAGTAGGTGCCTCGGACACTGTGCCCGGCTTTAGTAGGTGCCTCGGACACTGTGCCCGGCTTTAGTAGGTGCCGCGGACACTGCGCCCGGCTTTAGTAGGTGCCGCGGACACTGTGCCCGGCTTTAGTAGGTGCCGCGGACACTGTGCCCGGCTTTAGTAGGTGCCGCGGACACTGTGCCCGGCTTTAGTAGGTGCCGCGGACACTGTGCCCGGCTTTAGTAGGTGCCTCGGACACTGTGCCCGGCTTTAGTAGGTGCCGCGGACACTGTGCCCGGCTTTAGTAGGTGCCTCGGACACTGTGCCCGGCTTTAGTAGGTGCCGCGGACACTGTGCCCGGCTTTAGTAGGTGCCGCGGACACTGTGCCCGGCTTTAGTAGGTGCCGCGGACACTGTGCCCGGCTTTAGTAGGTGCCTCGGACACTGTGCCCGGCTTTAGTACGTGCCTCGGACACTGTGCCCGGCTTTAGTAGGTGCCTCGGACACTGTGCCCGGCTTTAGTAGGTGCCTCGGACACTGTGCCCGGCTTTAGTAGGTGCCGCGGACACTGTGCCCGGCTTTAGTAGGTGCCTCGGACACTGTGCCCGGCTTTAGTAGGTGCCTCGGACACTGTGCCCGGCTTTAGTAGGTGCCGCGGACACTGTGCCCGGCTTTAGTAGGTGCCTCGGACACTGTGCCCGGCTTTAGTAGGTGCCTCGGACACTGTGCCCGGCTTTAGTAGGTGCCGCGGACACTGTGCCCGGCTTTAGTAGGTGCCTCGGACACTGTGCCCGGCTTTAGTAGGTGCCGCGGACACTGCGCCCGGCTTTAGTAGGTGCCTCGGACACTGTGCCCGGCTTTAGTAGGTGCCTCAAACACTGTGCCCACGTACTCTGAATGGCGTATACACAATGATAATAAAAGATAACACAGTGTTTGCTAAGTGCCAGGTACAACTACAGGTACCGTACCAGATAGAAACTGTTATTATAACCATTTGACAGATAAAAACACTAAAGCACACGGAGATGAGTGAATTTGCCCAAGGTCACATAGACAGTAAGCAGTATGAAGAAACATATGTATAACTGCACTGACTCTAAAATATTATAAATTTATTCTGTTAAAGGTTTCTGTTTAAAAAAAAATCCATGTATTTATTAAAAGTAGCTTTTTTCTCAGATTCACTTATAGCAAGACTTTATTACATATTAACTTATCACTGGGTACAAACCACCTGGTTCTAAAGACGTCTGTCCTGATTACTGTAGGGACTGTTATATATGAGGCAGAGGCATCTTTTCATTATTATTATTTCCCAAAACCTATAGAATTTGTGTATAGCAGTTATAGACTATGTCTGAAATAGTTATATTCACATAACACTTAATAATCACATTTAAGTATTCACTAACAGAACAAAGCCTGTTACTATGGTAAATAAATACACACAGTTCTATCACAGAGCACAGAAGTCATCAAACAGATAATATTTTCTTCATTACACACTGAAACTTGTGACCCGCTAACAGCATAAAATAATGTTTAATATTTAATACCATGTGATGGCAATACTCAACCAAACATGTATTTCAAATGATATGTTATTTGACATTTCAATTTCAGCTCAAAAGTACTTCTAAAAAGGATGAAAATATGTGCCTGAAACTGATAGTTTGAATTTAATAAATTTTTCTGGGATTGTTGTGTTTTGAACTTTAATTTTAGAACCAAGGGGGTACATGCGCAGGTTTGTTACCAGGGTATATTACATGATGCTGAGGTTTGGGGTACAAATGAGCCCATCACCCAGGTAGTGAACACAGTTTCCACCAGTTAGGTTTTCAACCCTTGCTCCCTCCCTCCAACCTCGAGCAGTCCTCAGTTTCTGCTGTTGCCATCTTTATGTCCATGAGTACCCAATGTTTAGCTCCCACTTCTAAGTGAGAACATGCGGTATTGGTTTTTTGTTCCCGTATTAATTCACTTAGAATAATGACCTCCAGCTGCATCCAGGTTGCTGCAAAGGACATGATTTTGTTCTTTCTTAAGGCCACATTGTATTCTGTGGTGTATATGTACCACATTTTCTTCATCCAGTCTACTGTTGCTAGGCACCTAGGATGATACCACATCTCTGCTATTGTGAATAGTGCAGCAATGATTCTTCCAATCCATGAGCATGGAATGTCTTTCTACTTGTTTGCGTCATTTCTGATTTCTTTCAGCAGTGTTTTCTAGTTCTTGTAAAAATGTTTTACTTCCTTGGTTGGATGTATTCCTAGGTGTTGTAGGTGTGTATATCTACTGCAAATGAGACTGGATTCATTATTTGGCTCTCAGCTTGAACGTTATTGGTGCATAGAAACGCTATTGATTTCTGCACACAGCGATGAACATGCAACTATATGTCTTTTTGGTAGAATTATTTGTTCTCTTTTGGATATGTATCCATTAATGGGACTGCTGGATCGAATGGTAGTTCTGCTTTAAGCTCCTTGAGAAACCTCCAATGGCGTTCCACAGTGGCTGAACTAGGTTTATATTCCCATCCACATAAGTACTCCCTTTTCTCTTTTTCTCTGCTGCCTCACCAAAATCTGTTGTTTTTTACTTCTTAATAATAGGCATTCTATTAAAAAAACTTTGTCAGATGTGTAGTTTGCCAACATTTTCTCTCATTCTGTAGACTGTACACTCTGTTGATAGTTTCTTTTGATGTGCAGAAGTTCTTTGGTTTAATTAGGTCCCACCAGTCAATTTTTACTTTTGTTGCAACTGCTTTTAAGGACTTAGCCATAAATTATTTGCCAAAGTCTATGTCCAGAATGGTGTTTCCTAGCTTCTTATAGTTTCAGATCTTAAACTTAAATCTTTTCCCCATCTTGAGTTAATTTTTATATAAGATGAAAGGTAAGGGTCCAGTTCCATTCTTCTGCCTATGGCTGGCAAGTTGCCCCAGCACCATTTATTGACAGGGAGTCCTTTCCTCATTGCTTATTTTTGTCTACTTTATCAAAGATCAGATGGCTGTAGGTGTATGGCTTTATTTTGGGGTTCTCCACTCTGTTCCACTGGTCTATGTGTCTGTTTTTGTACCAGGACCATGCTGTTTTGGTTATTGTACCCTTATAGTATAGTTTGAAGTCAGGTAATGTGATGCCTCTGGCTTTGGGCTTTTTGCTTAGGATTGCTTTGGCTACTTGGACTCTTTTTTGGTTCTATGTTAATTTTAGCATACTTCCAATTCTGTGAAAAATGACACTGGTAGTTTCATAGGAATAGTGTTGAATCTGTAGACTGCTATGGGCAGAATGGCCATTTTAGTGATATTGATTCTTCCAATCCATGAGCATGGAATGTCTTTCCACTTGTTTGTGTCATTTCTGATTTCTTTCAGCAGTGTTTTCTAATCCTTGTAAAAATGTTTTACTTCCTTGGTTAGATGTATTCCTAGGTGTTGTGCATGTGTATCTCTACTGCAAATGAGACTGGATTCATTATTTGGCTCTCAGTTTGAACGTTATTGGTGTATAAAAACGTTACTGATTTCTGCACACTTATTTTGCATCTGAAACTTTACTGAAGTCATTGATCAGTTTCAGGAGCCTTTTGGTGGAGTCTTTGGGACTTTACAGGTATATAATCATATCACTTGCAAAGAGAAATAGTTTCACTTCTTCTTTTCCTAATTGGATGCCTTTTCTTTTTTTCACTTGACTGACTGCTCCAGCTAGCACTTCCAGGACTATGTTGAATAGGAGTGGTAAGAGTGGGCTTCCTTGTCTTGTTCCAGTTCTCAGGGAGAATGCTCCCAGTTTTTGTCCATTCAGGATAATGTTGGCTATGGGTTTGTCATAGATGGATCTTATTATTTTGATGGATCTTATTATTTGATGGATCTTATTATAATAATAATTATTATTATTATTATTTTCCTTCAATGCCTGGTTTCTTGAGGGTTTTTATCATGAGGGGATTTGGGGTTTTGTGAAAAGCTTTCTCTGCATCCATTGGGGATGATCATATGGTCTTTATTTTTAATACTGTTTATGTGGTGAATCACACGTTTTGATTTGCATATATTGAATCAACTTTCATCCCAGGAATCAAGCCTACTTGATCATGGTAATAAAGTTTTTGATGTGCTGTTTTATTTGGTTTACTAGCATGTTGTTGTAGATTTTTGGGTTTATACTCATGAGGGATATTGGCTTGTCATTTTCTTTTTTGTTATTGTGTCTTCACCAGGTTTTGGTATGGAGGTAACACTGGCTTGGTATAGTTTCAAAATTGGTAGCAGCTCCTATTTGTACAATACATCTGGCAGAATCTGGCAGCGAATCCATTTGTCTGGGGCATTTTTTTTTTTTTTTTCTAGTTGGTAGGTTTTAAATTACTGATTCAATGTCAGAACTCAATACTGTTCTCTTCAGGGTTTCAATTTCTTCCTGACTCAATCTTAAGAGATTGTGTGTGTATTAGTCAGGGTTCTCTTAGAGGGACATAACTAATAAGATAGATAGATAGATAGATAGATAGATAGATAGATAGATAGATAGATAGATAGATAGATACACACACACATACATACATACATAGATACATAGATAGATACATAGATATAAACGGGAGTTTGTTAAGTATTAACTTACATGATTACAAGGTCCCACAATAGGCTGCAAGCTGAGGAGCAAGGAGAGCCAGTTCAAGTTCCAAAATTGAAGAATTTGGAGTCTGATGGTCGAGGGCAGGAAGCATCCAGCATGGGAGAAAGATGTGGGCTGGGAGGCTAGGCCTGTCTCCCTTTTTCATGATTTTCTGCCTGTTTTATATTCCCTGAGAGCTGATTAGATGGTGCCCACCAGATAAGGGTGGATCTGCCTTCCCCAGCCCACTGACTCAAATGTTAATCTCTTTTGGCAACACCCTCACAGACACACCCAGGATTAATGCTTTGTATCCTTCAATCCAATCAAGTTCACACTTAGTATTAACCATCACAGTGTGTTTCCAGGAATTCATCCATTTCCTCTAGATTTTCTAGTTTGTGTGCATAGAGGTGTTCATAATAGTCTCTGAGGATCTTTTGTGTTTCTGTGGGATCGGTTGTAATGTCACTTTTGTCACTTCTAATTGTGCTTATTTGAACTTCTTTTTTGTTAATCTAGCTAATGGTCTATCAATCTTGTGTATCCTTTCAAATAACCAATTTTTAGTTTTGTTGATTATATTAATTTCTGGGTCTCAATTTCATTCAGCTCTGCTCTTATTTTAGTTATTTCTCTTTTTCTGCTAGCTTTGAAATGTTTGTTCTTGTTTTTCTAGTTCCTTTAGGTGTAGTATTAAATCATTAAATTGGGATCTTTCTAACTTCCTGCGGTAGGTATTTAGCACTATAAAATTTCCTCTTAACACTACTTTTGCTGCATCCCAGAGGTTTTGGTACCTGTGCCTCTGTTTTCATTTATTTAAATTTTTTTTATTTCTGCCTTAATTTCATTGTTTACACAAAAGTCATTCAGGAGCAAGTTGTATAATTTCCATGTAACTGTGGTTTTGAGTCCTTTAAGGTACTGATTTCTATTTTTATTCCACTGTGGTCTTAGAATATGGTTGCTATGATTTAGATTTTTTCAAATTTATTGAAACTTGCTTTATGGCTGAACATGTGGTCAATCCTGGAGTATGTTCCAGGTGCAGATGAGAAGAATGTATGTTCTGTGGTTGATGAGTGAAGTGTTCTGTAGATGCCTATTAAGTCCAATTGGTCAAGTGTTTACTTTAAGTCCAGAATTTCTTTGTTCGTTTTCTGCCTCAGTGATCTAATAGTGACAGTGGGGTGTTGAATTTCCCCACTATTATTGTGTGGTTGTCTAAGTCTTTTCCTAGGTCTTGTTTTATCAATGTGGCTACTCCAATATTGGGTACATATATATTTAGGACAATTAAATCCTCTTGTTGAATTGAATCCTCTATCATTATGTAATGCCTTTCTTTGTCCTTTTTTACTGTTGTTGGTTTAAAGTTTGTTTTATCTGATGTAAGAATAGCAAGCCCTGCTCTTTTTTGTTATTCATTACTTTGAGCCTGTAGGTGTTGTTACCTGTGAGATGGGTCACTTGAAGACAGCAGATGACTGGGTCTTGTTGTTTTATCAAACTTGCTACTCTGTGCCCTTTAAGTAGACTGTTTAGACCATTTACAATCAAGGTTAATATTCACATTTGAGGTTTTGACCCTATCATGAAATTGTTAGCTGGTGGCTTTGTAGTTTCTATTATGCGGTTGCTTTATAGGGTCTGTGGGCTATGTGCTTAAGGTGCTTTTGTGGCAGCAGCTGTTTCCATATTTAGAACTTGATATGGTTTGGATCTGTGTCCCCAAAAACTCTCATGTTAAATTGTAATCTCCAGTGTTGGAAGTGGGACTGGGTGGGAGGGAGGTGTCACACCACCCTTCCCTCTCCTGCTTCTGCCTTGTAAGACGGCTGCCCCTCCTTTACCTACTGGCATGAGTAAAAGTTCCTTGAGGCCTCTCCAAAAGTAGATGCTGCCATGCTTCCTGTATAGCTTGCAGAACCATAAGTCAATTGAACTTTTCTTATAAATTACCCAGTCTCAGGTATTTCTTTTCTTTTTTCGAGACAGAGTCTCACTTTGTCACCCAGGCTAGAGTGCAGTGGTGCGATCTTGGCTCACTGCAACCTCTGCCTCCTGGGTTCAAGCAATTCTCCTGCCTCAGCCTCCCGAGTAGCTGGGATTACAGGTGTGCACCACCACGCCTGGCTAATTTTTGTATTTTTAGTAGAGATGGGGTTTTACCATGTTGGTCAGGCTGGTCTCAAACTCCTGACCTCGTGATCCGCCCACCTCGGCCTCCCAAAGTGCTGGGATTACAGGAGTGAGCCACCATGCCTGGCCTCACGTATTTCTTTACAGCAATGCAAGAGCACACTAATACAGAACACCTTTAAGGAACTCTTGTGAGGCTGGTCTAGTGGTAACAAATTCCCTTAGTGCTTGCTTGTCTGGAAAAAAATTTTATTTCTTCTTCATTTATGAAGCTTCATTTGACAGGACATGAAACTCTTGGTTGCAATTTCTTTTCTTTAAAAATGCTGAAAATAGCCCCCCCAACTCACTTTGCTTGTAAAGTTTCTGCTGATAAGTCTGCTGTTGGCCTGATAGGGCTCCTGTTGTACAAAATCTGACCTTTTTCTCTAGCTGCCTTTAAGATATTTTTCTTTAGCACCGACCTTGAACAGTTTGGTGACTATATGACTTAGTGATGTTCATTTTGTATAGTATCTCACAGGTGTTCTCAGGATTTCTTGTAACTGGATGTCTACCTCTCTAGCAAGCTTAGGGAAATTTTCTTTAATTCCTCAAATTTGTTTTCCAGGTTGCTTATTTTTTTCCTTCTCTCTCAGTAATGCCAATAATTTGTAGTTTTGGTCACTTTACATAATCCCATATTTCTCAAAGACTGTTTATTTTATTAAATTATTTTTTCTTCCTTTTTGTCTGACTGGGTTAATTCAAAAGACTGATCTTCAAGTTCTGAAATTCTTTCTTCTACTTGGTCCAAACCATTAATAAAACTTTGAATTGTATTTTTAAATTTCTTAAGTGAGTTTTTCAATTCCAGAACTGGTTGATTTCTTTTTAAGATATTTATCTCTTCCTTCATTCCCTGGATAGCTTTAGAAGCTTCTTTGTGCTGATTTTCAGTCTTGTCTTGGATCTCATTGAGCTTCCTTGCAATTCATGCTTTGAATTACTTATCTGTCATATCTGAGTTTCCATTTTGGTTAGGAACCATTTCTGGAAAGCTTGTGCAATCCTTTGGTGGTGTTACTACATTCAGATTTTTAATGGTGCCAGTAATCTTGTGCTGATTCTTTCTCAGCTGAAGATGCTAGCACTTCTAATTTTTGTAATTATTTTCATGTAGGTAGGATGTTTCTTTCTCTTTTCTTCCTCTATAATGTTACTGGGTTTTTTTTCCTTCTCTTTCCCTTTCCCCTGCTTCCTATGGGTATGACTACAGATTATTTTGGGTAAGATCTATTTGTTTTGCTTCTATCTTTGCTCTGCCTTTGGTTTTGTTTCTACCAGTTCTTCTGGTAGGTTTTGTATCAGGCTGTGCAGTTCAATCTACATGCCAGTAGATGATGCTTATAGGTAAGAGCCAGTTGCAGCCAATGTAGCTGGATACTTGATCCTTGTTTACTGGCAGAAGTTCTCTGTTGCCTCAGACAATGGGCTGATACATAGAATGCATAGTGGTCTGAGCTCCCTGCTCAGCCCCAAGGGCATGGGGCCAGACTGGTCAGGTCCACCTAAAGGTCCCCTGATACAGGCACAAGCACCAGCACTGACAGAGAATCCAATGGGTGGCTACCAAGCACCCAGAGGTATGCCTAGGCATGGAGCTCCTCAGTATCAAGTTCTCTGCACAGGAATGGGAAACCTCTTCAGCATCAACTTCTCTACACAGGAATGGGGGATGCCCTAAACTCCAAATCCAGAAGAGCTCTGCCTAGGTGTGTAGTATAGTGGGCTCCCCCTGAACCAAGATCTCTGCATAAAAGGGGTAGGGTGACTCGAACTGCTGAACCAGGCAAGCAGGTGTTCTGAATACCTGGAGATCTGTCTGGGCATGGAGCAGAGAGAGTCCCCCTATATGAGGATCTCTGCACGGGAAGGATGGAGCAGCTCGGGCTACTGACCCAAGTAAGCTTGTGCTCCAAATGCCTGCAGACCTGCCTGGGCTTAGAGCAGAGAGGGTCCCACTGTCCCACAGGAAGAGTTGCGTGGCTCAGGCTGCTGAACCAGATAAGCAGGTGCTCCAAATGCCTGGAGATCTGCCTAGGTGTAAAGCAGAAAGGGCCTCCCTACACCAGGATCTTTTTTATCCACCAGACACTGTCGCAGAGGTTGTTTGCCAGTGTTCTGCTCACCAGGATCTGGGTGTCCCTCACGATTCCAGTGGATTCCCATTTTCCTTTTGTTGTTGTTGTTGTTGTTGTTTTTTGTTTGTTTGTTTCTTTTTTGAGACAGAGTCTTGTTCTATCACCAGGCTGGAGTGCAATGGCCCGACCTTGGCTCACTGCAACCTCTGCCTCCCAAGTTCAAGCGATTCTCCTGCCTCAGCCTCCTGAGTAGCTGGGCCTACAGAGCTAATTTTTCTATTTTTAGTAGAGATGGGGTTTCACCATGTTGGCCAGGATGGTCTCGATCTCTTGACCTCGTGATCCACCCGCCTCAGCCTCCCAAAGTGCTAGATTACCAGGCGTGAGCCACTGCGCCCAGCCCCATTTTCCTTCTTGAAAAAAAGCTCATACAGTTTATCTTCATGCACTATCTAGCCATTTCCAAGTGGCTGAGGCATGCTACAAGCCTCTTATCTGCCATCTTAGAGAAACAATCTGCACTTTATAAATGGACAGGTAAATCTTTGTTGAGAGAGAAAAAATAAAGGAAACAGCTTGTAGAGTGACCCAAGTACAGTCCTGAAGCTGCTCTCAAGGAAAGTAAGAAAAATAGCAGCCCAAACCCTCCCCTTAGAAGGAAGGCTTTTCCCACAGAGTCTCGCCTTCTGGCTGGAAGTCATCTCTTTCTGGGTTTTGTTGTTGTTGTTGTTGTTGTTGTTGTTTATTTGAGACGGCGTCTCACTCTGTCACCCAGGCTGGAGTGCAGTGGCACCATCTCAGCTCACTGCAAGCTCCGCCTCCTGGGTTCACACCATTCTCCGGCCTCAGCCTCCCAAGTAGCTGGGACTACAGGCGCCCGCCACCACGCCTGGCTAATTTTTTGTATTTTTAGTAGAGCTGGGTTTCACCGTGTTAGCCAGGATGGTCTCGATCTCCTGACCTCAGGATCCACCCTCCTCAGCCTCCCAAAGTGCTGGGATTACAAGCATGAGCCACCGCACCCAGCTCTCTTTGTTTTTTTTTTTTAATGTTACCTTATAGTCACAGCATTTTATGCTTTAATGATAATTCACATTTAATTTTAGAAAACTTTTATTTTCTTAAAGATATAATCGTTTATTATATTTACATATTGAATGTTTTCAATGACAATAAATATAGGAAGGTCATCAACAAGACCCATAGAATTTAAACAATCACACATAAAATAATTGGTGTAGAAGTCAAAATTTTTTAAATGGTTAGCTCAGAAAATACAGAAAGCTCAAGACACATTACTAAAACATGAACTGACCTTAACAAAGAAAAACACTGCTTTGTTTCTATTATACTTCAAAAAAAAACAGTAATAAGAATTTAAAAAAAAAATCAGTTCTCTGTTGCATAGAAGGAGAAATATACCATTTTCTCTTTCTGTGAGGAAAAAGAGGAAAATCATATTTAAAACGAATGACATTCTGTACAGATGGGCATAAACAGCGCCCTCTGTCTCATGTACACACATCCTTTTCTTGTCACTCAGCTTTATTTCTGGCAATTCTTAAATCGGAGAAAAAAGTTACAATAAATCTGTAAGATCCATATTGTGTATAGAAGTAAGTGAAAAATAAGCTGTTCAAATTCCAATACCTACTGATCTCCTTCTGTGGCCAAAGTTTCTCTGACATCATTCTGCTGCTTGTTTATTCTTCCATGCTCTCCTATTGTTACAGAGGGCAACTAATTTTAAAAAGTATTTGACAGTATTAAGCAATAACTTTGTGCCGATTTTCTTTTTCACAGAACAGAATTAAATTTGAGTGCAGATGTGAGTAGATATAGAAGAGTGTATGATATTTTTGTGTGTGTGTTTTCTTTGTAGAGTCCAAAAGCCCTGTGGATTGTTAGTGAAGCTCAGGCAGAATAAAGCAAATAGAAGAACAAGGCAACTGAAGTCTAACGATATGGTGGATAAGAATCCGATTTTAAATCTTGACATTGCTTGAGAATGGGAATAATGTGTTACTTATTTTTCGCACTATGACTAACAATTATTAAACATCTAATATGTACCAAACACAGTTCTGGACATATTCCCATATCTTAACTCGTTTAATCTTGACAACAATCCTTCTGAGGTAGGTTTTATTACCCTTCATTTCAGATGAGGAAATAAACTCACAGACATTACTAATTTGGGTGACTCAGACAGACACAGTTTCCATTTTGTTCTTCCTTTCAGTTAACATATATTTCTTATGGACTTTCTGCTTGTTCCAGGCACTATGCTTGGCACAGCGTCTACCATTTCTCTTTCTACTAAACCATATAGCCGGTCTCTGACACCTAGCACAGTACCTAGGTCATATTAGGTTCTCAATGAAGATTCACTGAATTATTTGGTTAATTTACTTGTCTCTATAAAATAAACATTTACATAGAAATTTGGGTCCAGGTTTATATTATCTTAAAACATCTTGTAATTCAACACTGTTAAAACATGTATTTTAAAAATAGTTTTTCAAAAGAGAAAATATTTCATTGATTATAGACATCTAGGAAACCCAAGTCAGGTGGCAAATACCTGCACTGAAAACTAACAGAATCATGGAAAGGAAGCCTGACACAGCATGATGCACATTCTCTCAACTTTGTATGTAAATAAATCCTACATTCTTTAATTGTCTCAAGAATGCGTGATTTGAATACCTAATTCTATTACAAATATCACATGGGAATGGTCTTCCAATGTTGGTACATGTACTCAAGGCACAATGCATAGTGTTGACCAAAAAGCAAAAGCTTACCATGAAAAAAGGTAAGTAATGGATGGATTACTTTGTAGTCAGACATGGATAAGGTTGAATGTTAGCTCTGCCATTTACTAGCTACCTTATTTTGAGGGAAGTTATTTCACTTTTCTGAGGCTGTTTCTGTACTATAAAATACAGATAATTCTAACAGCATCTACTGTGCACTCAGAGATTATGGTGAGGACTAAATGACAGGATGTATGTGACCTGGGCACATACCCAGGTCAGAGTTAGGGCTCATTAACAGTTAGCTGTATATTGAAGTAGAAAAGTTAGGGAGGCTGGGAAATAAATTTTCTGGTAGGCATGAGGTGGAGCAGACTACATAATGATCACCTTCTTTTTACTGTCTAACCTTTAAAGCTCCTTAGTATGCAGGAAAATGCCTGCTCCTGAATGAGCTGATCTTCATACCAGCGTATTTATCTTTCCTAATTCAAAAACAGCCTCCTTAAAACACAAACATACTTTTTCATACTGTCATTCAAAATAGCTGCTTATGATATAACTTAATAGTAAAAATGGGAAAATTACTGATTTCTTTTTGTACAATTCTATGTACCTTCAACAAATTATGCCTTTTCATTTTCAAAGGATAATACCAATTCCTTCCAAAGGCATGATCAAACCTAAATAGTGGTTAATTTGAACATTTCTTTTAAGTCCCAGAAGAAGAAATTACGTTAACCACTTCTTCATATCTTAAGTGAAAAATGTGTAAGACAGTAACTGTCTTAAATAATTACATTTCTGCTTATTAGGTGTAATTAATATTTTATCCCCAAATTAAGCCAAAATAATTCCTTAGATATAAGATGCCTACACAACCAACAAATCAAGCTTTTAATTTCTGAGTTCTAGCCAAAAGGCCATATTGCCTAAGAAGAGCAGAAATAAATGTTTTTTTTTTTGTTGCCTTTTTAAAAACTTTGTAACCTACATATAAATAGAAGGAAACTCAGATTTCGAATACAGACTTCTGAGGGAAATCAAATGAATACAAAATTTATTGTATACTAAGCAGTAACTCTTGTTTATTCTATCACTTGGGACTGTATATTCTTTTTAAATTAGTATATCAATTGTTCTGAATATAATAATTCAATACAGTCATCTTCCTAAGGGTCCATTTTAAGCATCATTCAAAGCAAGTAGTAGTAAAAAGGAACAAAGCATAAGCCACAGCAGTGCTAAAAATATGGTAATTGATTAAAACAAAAACAATTAGCTGGGTGCAATGGCTCATACCTATAATCCCAGCATTTTGGGAAGCCAAGGTAGGAGGATGGCTTCAGCCCAGAAGTTCACGACCAGCCTGGGCAAGATGGTGAGACCCTGCATCTTAGAACTGATGAAAGACGGTAACTTTTCTATATTTTTTCAATATGATTTTATTCTCACACATCAACAACATTCTAAGATGTCTTACAAAGAATAGCTTTTGTAATCCCATGGCCTCTAATGCAATACAGTGCTTTATACACATTCTATGGGAATTGCAGGTACCATCTCCATAGCCTAAGAGTATGCAATCTGAACCAAATCCTTTTCTGTCCACATCTTGAAGTGCTTCTTAAATTCCTAAGATCTAACTAGTTACTTCTCTATTACCTGTTAGTGGCTCTGCTATAGAAGAAAAGGTGAAAGTAAATATCTACAAAGAAAGACAGTGGGGATAGTGACAACAATAATAACCACTATTTACTAAGTGCTATGTTCTAAACACTTTACATGGACTTTGTTACTTAATGTTTGCAATTCTATGATGCATACAGAATCAGTCTTATTACGAGATGAACAAATTTAGTTTCCAACTGATAATTGTGAAGAAATAAAAAACTACAGGAGAGTGATTTTTAAATCAAAGGTGCATATGAAGAGAAGCATGCTAATGAAATAATCCTGCTAGCTTTTCTTTTTTGATTTTGTAAAATATTAATTGCTCTTGCACTGTTCTTTATTGACAATGGATCAGACTGAAGCTTCTGGTCAGTGTATCTTTATTATTTTTCGAGACAGGGTCTTTCTCTGTTGACCAGGCTGGAGTACCAGGGTGTGAGCATAGCTCACTGTAACCTCAAACACCTGGGCTCAAGTGATCCCACCTCAGCCTCCCAAGTAGCTAGGATGTGGGAGTATGCCAACATACCCAGCTAATTTTTGTATTTTTTTTTTTTGTAATAGACAGGGTCTCACTTTCTTGTCCATGCTTGTCTTGAACTCCTGACCTCAAGCAAACCTCCCTCCTTGGCCTCTCAAAGTGCTAGGATTATAGGCATGAGCCACTATATCCAGTTCTGCTTCGTTTTTTTTGTTGTTGTTGTTTGTTTGTCTTAAGAAAAAATTCTCATTTTGTGAAGTGTGAGCCAGGAGAAAGAGACAAGAGGCTGACTCCAGAAAAACTGCAGTCTTCATTCTTAAAAAGCACATCTTTCAGGGATGATAGCTATTGGGATATTCACATGTCAGCAGCTCTCAGTATAAACAAAACAACAATAAAAAGTCAGAAAATCAGCAAGAGGAATAAACATGTCAGAAATATTGTGGGATCCAGTGACCATCACATGTCTTAATAATGAGCTCATCATCCAGCCTGTATGAGCCTTCTCCTGTGAGAGCATCTTTTTGAACCAACGGATCAACAGAAAATACTCCCGCAGTGCTTGCTTTTTAAAGTAGGATTATATGAAAGTAACTGAGAATTACTCCCATCTCCTTATATTGACAATCTTCCAGTTAATGAGAAGATGGATTTTCTCCTCAAGCTATTGGGTTTGAGAATCTTCTGTTCTGTGTTAGCTAATCTCTCATGAATGTTTTTAACACTGAAGGTCCTTGTATTTGCTATTACAAAAAAGCAGGTGCAACTGAGTTCCTTCCTTAGAATTTTGAGCTCGCAATCATTTGTTCAAGATCCCACTAATCTTTTTAGTTCTTGTTTGCTGAACACCTGATTTTAAAAGGGAACCCCACAAATCCCCTTTAACCACTCTTCCATTTGAGTCCATCCTTCATAGTCATCTACTAAACATTTTGTTTACAATGTATCAAAGGTTATGATTCCTAGGAAGTTTGGCTTTCTTTTTTTGTAAAAAACAGGGAAAGAACTCTATTGGGAATGTCATGCCCTGTCCATCCATCCCATCTTTTTTTAATCGGGCAACTTTATATTCATCCTACCAGGACCAACTCTAATGTCCAAACTGCGTGACAGAATTAACAGTTCCTTCCTCTGTATTCCTAAAGTATTTTGTTCACATTATTATTATTAGAGTATTAATATATTGAGTATAGAATGTTTTGGTATGCCGATAGTGAAGTCTTATTCATCTTTATATGTTCCAACGGTACCTGGTACAGAGTAGTTACTCAGTAAAAGTATGTTGAATAATTTTATTAACGTGATTCCAAATCCCTAAGTGATAATCTTATTTAAGGAAAATACTATAACACTGAATACTCTCTGAATAGTCTCTGAAACAGTAATGAGAAATACAAAAATCAGCTGGGCATGGTGGTGCACACCTGTAATCCCAGCTGCTAGGGAGGCTGAGGCAGGAGAATTGCTTAACTGGGACCCGGGAGGTGGAGGTTGCAGTGAGCCGAGATTGCACCAGTGCACTCCAGCCGAAAGAAAGACAGAAAGAAAGAGAGAAAGAGAGAGAGAGAAGAGAAAGATAGAGAGAGAAAGAAAGTAATGACAGAGAAAATACTTTTTCGAGTAAAACCTCAGAAAAGAATATGATCCCAAGTAAAAAAAAAAGTAAACTGCGAAAATAATATTTTTTTCCTTTTCTTATTCATTTTCCACAGCTTCTTAATTCTCTTCCATTAAATCTTATTGAGGCAATTTTATTTATGGATAGTTATATCTAGTTTTATAAGCCTGGCAAATATCTTGCCCCAAAGTTACAGAATATGTATCTAGTACTGGATAATGCAAAATTCACTTTGAAACTTTTTATTAGAATATTTGCTTGCCTAATTAAAGATGGAATAGAGCAATATTATAATAAATGTGCATAGCCTGAATACAAAGGAGCTAAGAGATAACGGAATACATACATACTTGGCCAAAGAAGACAGACCACAATTATAAATATAGCCTAGATATATACAAAGCAAATGGTCATGCATTAACATATTAATTGAAGGTGATGAACTGAAGTTTTATCAATTAAGAAAACACTGCAAGCTATATTCTGGGCCCAATTTTAAAAGTAGAAAAAAAATGGTATTATTTTATGGTTTATGTTATTTATGTTTATTTTATGTTATTTGATTATTCCCAGTCCATAGGCACATCCTTAAAATTTCATATGAACACTTTGGGGAAACATTTTAAAGTTTTCATTTGAACTTACTCCTCGTCCTCAAATGCCAGCAAACTGTTCCTGGTATATAGAAAACAGATCTTATCTAAGAATTCACCGTTTACATGTGAAAGCCTTTGCTTAGAATTCCTCCTCCTCTCCTGTCTGCCTGTTGAAATCCTGTCATTCTTTAAGGGTCAGACATTGTGCTTATATATTGTCAGACCACATCTTCTGAGTCTCTCTTGCAGCCCCTTCCTGGATTACAACTCTAAGGCAGAGACTGCACCTTAGGTACGGGAGCATACTGTTGCATGCTCAACAATATTTGATGAATTGAAAGTAGGCTTTTATCAATTCATAAACAAAATCAATTATTTTACCAATTCCAGCTCATTTCAACAGATTTCTATTCCCAAAGTCTAGGGTCCTTTGTCTTTGTTCTGTCAATCCCTAAAGAAGCAAGATCATTTCTGTCTTTTCCTATGAGCCTGAGAGAGGACAGGCCTCACACATTCACCATTCCCAGGTGTGCAGTAGTGTAAAAATAATTCACACTGATTCCAAGGTATCACTTATCAATTGGGAATTGTATTGTCAGAGGCGTGTGAACCAGAACAACTCCATCTTGAACAGGAGCTGGGTAAAATGAAGCTGAGGCCTACTGGGCTGCATTCCCAGACAATTAACGCATTCTAAGTCACAGCATGAGATGGGAGGTCGGCACAAGATAAAGGTCATAAAGACCTTGCTGATAAAACAGGTTGTAAAGAAGCCGGACAAATCAGACCAAAAGCAAGATGTCCATGAGAGTGACCTCTGGTCGTCCTCACTGCTACACTCCCACCAGCCCCATGACAGTTTACAAATGCCATGGCAACATCAGGAAGTTACCCTATATGATCTAAAAAGGGGAGGCATGAATAATCCACCCCTTGTTTAGCATATCATTAGGAAATAACCGGCCAGGCGCAGTGGCTCACGCCTGTAAACCCAGCACTTTGGGAGGCCAAGGCAGGCAGATCACAAGGTCAGGAGATCCAGACCATCCTGACCAATATGGTGACCCCGTCTCTACTAAAATACACAAAAAAAAGACATTAGCCGGGCATGGTGGCACACACCTGTAGTCCCAGCTACCCGGGAGGCTGAGGCAGGGGAATAGCTTGAACCTGGGAGGCGGAGGTTGCAGTCAGCCAAGATCTCGCCACTGCACACCAGCCTGAGTGACAGAACGAGACACCATCAAAAAAAGAAAGAAAAGAGAAGAGGAAAGAAAAGAAAAGAAAAGAAAGAAATGGGCAACCAGCAGCCCCTAGGGCTGCTCTGTCTATGGAGTAGCCGTTCTTTTATTCCTTTACTTTCTTAATAAACTTGCTTTCACTGTGCACCATGGACTCGCCCTGAATTCTTTCTCGCGCCAGATCCAAGAGCCCTCCCTTGGGGTCCTGCAACACTATCACTGTTAATAAAATGATCCAAACTTCATCACCGTTAACCCAATTAACCCTAAAGTAGCTGAAGAGTAAAAAGTTACAGGTTCCCATTACTAAATTAGAATCAGTAAAGAATAATAAGCACGTAACTGAATCTAATTAATAAATAAAATCTCTCCCTTTTCCATCCCACTAAATGCCAGTAATCCCACTGTAATCCCACCATACCATCTAAAATGTATGCTTCAAGGCCCAGGGTTAAGGCCCAACTACATGAAGCCTCCCAGTTTCCTTTGTTTTCTCTGAAACTGGCTGATACCACCCTTTCCAGATCTCACACTTTAGTTAGTAGATCGACTAACAACACAGCAAGAGCCTGTGTTAGTAACTCAATAAATACTGAATTGAACGGCTTCTAAGTTATCACTTTATAAGAATGAATATAATCTTCTTAACATTATGACACTGATATTATGTTCTCATTTTTGACGTTAGGAAATGGAGGGTCAGAAGATTAGCTGGTGGTGATAGAACCACGATTAGAATCCTTATCTGTCCAATTCATACTTTCATACTCTTCCCCCATATTCCAGTATGACCCTGGAATTTATTCTGTCAAATATTATTGTTTTCTTTCTGTTTCTTTTTTTTTCTTTTTTTTTTTTGTTTTTGTTGTTTTGTTTTGTTTTGTTTTTTGAGGCAGGCTCTTGTTCTGTTGCCCAGGCTACAGTGCAGTGGTGCAATCACAGCTCACCGCAACCTCAACCTCCCGAGCCCAAGCAATCCTCCCACCTCAGCCGTAAGCAGCCGGGACTACAGGCACATGCCATCTTGCCTGGCTCATTTTAAAAAAAATCTTTTTTGTAGAGAAGCTGTCTTCCTACGTTGCCCAGGCTGGTCTCAAACTCTTGGACTCAAGTGATATTCCTGCCTCAGCCTCCCAAAGTGCTGGGATTCCGGGCGTGTACCACCACACCCAGCGGTCAAGTATTATTCCTGAGTGACTTTGTACATGAGGTTTACCTTCCCAAGAACCATGTTGGTTCCTGAAGAATGACCTCCAACACCAGAGACAGAGTTTTCAAATTGAAATGGTACTCAAGTTGGTTAATTTGAACAGATTGTCTCTTTTGCTAGGTCATTCTCAATTAAGTCTTGGTTGAATAAATTAATAACATTACGACAAACAAGGATTAACTTCAGACCCTACCCTCTTAATCCCTGAAAGAACTGGACATTATAGCCCTACCCATAGGAAGACAGTGATAGAATTTTCTTTAAAACTATATATAACATATTATATGAATTAACATAATTATTTATTCTTGCTACCATGCATTTACATCAAACCATTCATTTCTCAAGGCATAGATGCATCCAAAATCCTCCTAGATTGAAACTGTTTTCATTTTTTATTGCAATAAAATATGCATAAAAAATTTACTATCTTAACCATAGTTAAGTATACACTTTAGTGTTACTAAATCCATTCATAATGTTGTGCACCATCACCACCATCCATCTCTGTAACTCTTTTCATCTTGCAGAACTGAAACTCTAAATTCATTAAACAGTAACTCCAGTTCCCTCCTTCTTTCTAGCCTCTGGCAATCACCATTCTACTTTCTGGCTCTAAGATTTTGACTCCTCTAAGTATCTCATAAAAGTGGAGTCATATAGTATTTGTCTTTAATGTGGCTGGCTTATTTCACTTAGCATAATGTCCTCAAGGTTCAACCATGTTGTAGCATGTGTCTTCATTTCCCTCCTTTTTAATGCTGAATGACATTTTATGATATGTATGTATGTACCACATTTTGTTTTCAGATAAATGACATGAGGGTTGCTTCTACATTTTAGTCATTGTGAATAGTGCTGCTATGAACACTGGCATACAAACATCTCTTTGAGATCCTGCTTTCAATTCTTTTGGGTACATACACATAAATGGAATTGCTGGATCATACAGTAATTCTATTTTTAAATTTTTGAGTTGCCGCCATACTGTTTGCCACAGTGGCTATACAGTTTTACACGTCCACGCAGTGCACAAGGCTTCCAATTTCCCCACATCCTCCCCAACACTTATTTTCTGGGGTTTTTTAAATAGCAGTCATCCTAATTTGTGTGAAGTGGTATCTCACTGTAGTTTTGATTTGCATTTCCGTCATGATTAGTGATGCTAAGCATCTTTTCATGTGCTTATTGGCGTATCTTCTTTGGAAAAATGTCTACTTAAGTCCTTTGCCCATTTTAAAATCATGTTGCTTTTCTATTGTTGAGTTCTTAATTATATATTTTGATATTGATCCATTATCAGATATAAGGTTTGCAAATATCTTCTCCCATACTCTGGGTTACCTTTTAACTGTTGATACTGTCTTTTGATGCACCAAATTTTTTAAATTTTCATAAAGAACAATTTGTTTATTTTTTTTCTTTAGCTGCCTGTTCCTTTGGTGTCATTCCCAAGATACCACTGACAAATCCAATGTCATGAAGCTTCTGCCCTATGTTTTCTAGGAGTTTTATAGTTTGGGGTCTTACATTTAGGTCTTTGATCCATTTTGAGTTGATTTTTGTATACAAACTTAGATAAAGGTCCAACTTCATTCTTTTGCATATGGATACCCAGTTGTCCTGGCACCATTTGTTGAATTGACTGTGCTTTCTCCATTGAAGGGTCTTGGCACCCCCATCGAAAATCATTTGACCATATAGGTGAGGTTTTACTTCTGGACTTTCCCGTTGATTCCATTGGTCTATATGTCTGTCTTTATGCCAGTAACACACTGTTTTGGTCACAGTAGCTTCTTAGCAAATTTTGAAATCAGCACATTGAGTCATCCAGCTATGTTATTTTTCAAGATAACTTTAGCTATTTGGAGTCCCTCAAGATTCCATATAAATTTTAGATTTTTTTTTCCTTTTCTGCAAAAAAACATCATTGCGATTTTGATAGGGAACGCATTGAATCTGTAGAGGCCTTTGGGTAGGTAATGACATCTTAACAATATTAAATCTTCCAGTTCACAAACATGGGATATGTTTCCACTTATTTATGTTGCCTTTAATTTCTTTCAGCAATGTTTTTCTGCTTTTCATTGTTAAGTTTTTAACCTCCTTGTTAATTCCTAAGTATTTTATTCTTTTGGATGGAATTGTTTTTGTAATTTCCTTTTCAGATTGTTCACTGTTTGTTTGTGTATAAAAATGCAACGGATTTTTGTGTATTCACGTTGTGCCCCAATACTTTGTTTAATTCAGTTATTAGCATTGATAGTTTTTTGTGGGATCTTTAGGATTTTCTATCTACAAGGTCATATCATCTATGAACAGAGATAATTTTACCTCTTCCTTTCCAATTTGTGTGCCTTTTATTTCTTTTTCTTGCCTAAATGGTCTAGCTAGAACTTCAGTAGTATGTTGAATAGAAGTGGTGAAAAGCAGGCATCCTTATCTCATCCTCAATCTTAAAGGAAAAGCTTTTGGTCTTTCACCAGTAAGATGTTAGCTATGGGTTTTTCATATATGGCTTTTACTATGTTGAAGTAGTTTCTTTTTATTCCTTATGTGTTCAGTGATTTTTGTCATGAAAGGGTATTGAATTTTGTCAAAATGATTTTTCTGCTTCGATTCAGATGATCACGTGGGGTTTTTTTCCCCCTACAATCTGTTTATATGATATATTACACTGATTGATTTTCACATTTTGAACCATTCTTGCAGTCTGGGAATAAATGCCATTTGGTCATGGTGTATAATCCTTTTAATATGCTGCTAAATTTGGTTTGCTAGTATTCTGTTGAAAATTTTTACATCAGTGTTCATAAGGGATACTGGTTTGTAGTTTTCTTTTCTCATAATATCTTTGTCTGGCTTTGGTAACAGGGTAATGTTGGCCTCATAATAAAAGCATTAGGAAGTATTTCTTCCTCTTCAATACTTTGGAAAAGTTTGAGAAAGATTAGTATCAGCTTCTCTATAAATGTTTGGTAGAATTCACCTGTGAAGCCCTCCAAGTCAGCTTTTCTCTGTTGAGAGATTATTGATTACTGATTCAATCTCCTAACTAGGTATAGGTCCATTCAGATTTTCATAATTTTTGTCTTTCACAGTTTTTTATATTTCCAGAAGTTTGTCCCTTTCATCTAGGGTATTCAATTTGTTGTCATACAACTCTTCCTAATGCCCTCCTATAATCCTTTTTCATTCTGTATGATTCATAATAATGTCCCTGTTTTCTTTTTTTTTTTTTTTTTCTTTTTTTTGGGGGGGGGACAGAGTCTTGCTCTGTTTCCCAGGCTGGAGTGCAGAGGCACAACCTCGGCTCACTACAGCCTCCGCCTCCCGGGTTCAAGTGATTCTCCTGCCTCGGCCTCCTGAGCAGCTGGGATTACAGGTGCCCGCCACCGTGCCCAGCTAATTTTTGTATTTTTGGTAAAGACGGGGTTTCACCATGTTGGCCAGACTGATCTGAAACTCCTGACCTCAAGTGACCCACCCACCTCGGCCTCCCAAAGTGCTGGGATTACAGGCATGAGCCACCACGCCCGGCCCAGTAATGTCCCCATTGTCATTTTTTATTTTAGCAATTGGAATCTTCTTTTTTCTTAGTCCATCTATCTACAAGTTTGACAATTTTGTTAATCTTTTCAAGAACGCAGCTTTTGGTTTCACTAATCTTTTTTTTTTTTTTTTTTTTTTTTTAAAGACAGAGTGTTGGTCTTGTCGCCCAGGTGGGAGTGCAGTGGCACGATCTCGGCTCACTGCAACCTCTGCCTCCCAGGTTCAAGCGATTCTCCTGCCTCAGCCTCCTGAGTAGCTGGAATTACTGGTGCCCACTATCACACCCTGCTAATTTTTGTATTTTTAGTAGAGACAGGGTTTCACCATGTTGGCCAGGCTGGTCTCGAACTCCTGGCCTCGTGGTCCACCGGCCTCCTTAAGTGCTGGGATTACAGGCGTGAACCACTGCGCCCGGCCACTAATCTCTCCTATTGCTTTCCTATTCTCTATTTCAGTTAACACTGTTCTAATCTTTATTATTTCCTTCCTTCTGCTAGCTTTGCATTTAGTTCTTCTTTATCTAGTTATTTCACTTTAAAGTTAGGAAACTCACTAATTTTGGTATTAACTTCTTTATCAGATATTTTAGAATTAGACCTATCGATCATGTCATACTTTCCTCAGATTCATAACTGCATGATATAATAATCCTGTGTATTCGAGTCAAAAGACACAGGGACTCTAAAGCAAGTTCTTCATGCTCTGAAAGCATATTATTCTTTCCTTTTGTCTTTATGTGTCCTAGAAGTCATTAGACACAAAACATGGAGTTTCAAGGTTACTGTTAGAGAACATATCGTGAGTCTAATGGTTAATTACTTCCATATTATCTAAGTTTTACAAACCTCTGATGTATTCTTCCTTTGGTTTTATTGTTCCAAGCTTCACATCTGGGCTTCTCACAATGCCTGATTTTTATAGAAAGAACACAGTCATATAATAAAAAACACTGATGTCAGCACACTGACATTCAACCCAGTGTTTTATCTGGGGCTCTGCTTCAGGCCACTGTTGCTGAATGCTGTGGACTCCATTCTCCAAGTGCACGTATTTGTTTTGTGCTTTAAAATAGCTAAATTATTATATATAACTACAACATAGAACTTTTAAAAATTCTGTAACTCAGGATTTTCACAATTCAGGTTGAGTCCCTCTATCCAGTCCAAATTCATCCAAATTTTACTGACTAGCCCTCAAACCTGAGAAATAGAAATGCCTCCTAACAGACACAGGCCGTCCGAAGGTCAATCAAATCCCATGGGAATATGACAAAAAGCACCTTTCTCTGACAAGAGAGAGCCAGTAATTAAGGTCTCAGCCTTGTTCCCCTCATCTCTGCTTGGATCAGAATTCAGTTTTTCAAATAATGCCCTATAAATGTTAAGCCAAAAACATAGGCAACACTCTACCGGGGTCAGTACCAGGACAAAGAACATCACATTTTATGGAATCTATCTTTACAATCGTATTTTTATGCAAAAAAACTCAATGACTACTGTAGCTGGGACACCTCACAGTTGTTCCTGCTACATTCATTTTCATCCTTTTGACTTTTATAGGCAGATTTTTTTTGAGAATTTTTAAAAATTATATATAAAGACATTTTTAGGAAATCTGAGCTGGTGTCCTCCTTTCATTCCTTAGAACCAGACAAGAAGGCAGGAACAGTGAAGACAAAATACAATGCGCAAGAGCAGGGGCAGGCAACTGTTTTCTGTAAAGGGCAGCCTTCACAGGCCAAACCATCTCTACCGAAACTACTCAGCTCTGCTGCTGTAACAATAGACAAGACATGATACATACAAGAACGGCATGGCTCATTCTGGCACCCAGGCTTATAGTTTGCCTGCTCCTGGCCAACAACAAAGATATGGAGTCTGATGCCCAAGTTTGAATACTAACTCTGTTTTTTACTAGCTGTATTAACACTGGCAAGTTATTTAATGTTTCTAGTGGAGTCTGATGCCCATGTTTGAATACTAACTCCGTTTTTTACTAGCTGTATTAACACTGGCAGGTTATTTAATGTCTCTAGTGGAGTCTGATGCCCATGTTTGAATACTAACTCTGTTTTTCACTAGCCGTGTTAACACTGGCAAGTTATTTAATGTTTCTAGTGGAGTCTGATGCCCATGTTTGAATACTAACTGTTTTTTCACTAGCCGTATTAACACTGGCAAGTTATTTAATGCCTCTAGTGGAGTCTGATGCCCATGTTTGAATACTAACTCTGTTTTTTACTAGCTGTATTAACACTGGCAAGTTATTTAATGTCTCTAGTGGAGTCTGATGCCCATGTTTGAATACTAACTCTGTTTTTTCACTAGCCGTATTAACACTGGCAAGTTATTTAATGCCTCTAGTGGAGTCTGATGCCCATGTTTGAATACTAACTCTGTTTTTTACTAGCCGTATTAACACTGGCAAGTTATTTAATGTTTCTAGTGGAGTCTGATGCCCATGTTTGAATACTAACTCTGTTTTTCACTAGTCGTATTAACACTGGCAGGTTATTTAATGTCTGTAGTGGAGTCTGATGCCCATGTTTGAATACTAACTCTGTTTTTCACTAGTCGTATTAACACTGGCAGGTTATTTAATGTCTGTAGTGGAGTCTGATGCCCAAGTTTGAATACTAACTCTGTTTTTCACTAGTCGTATTAACACTGGCAGGTTATTTAATGTCTGTAGTGGAGTCTGATGCCCATGTTTGAATACTAACTCTGTTTTTTACTAACCGTATTAACACTGGCAAGTTATTTAATGTTTCTAGTGGAGTCTGATGCCCATGTTTGAATACTAACTCTGTTTTTTCACTAGCCGTATTAACACTGGCAAGTTATTTAATGCCTCTAGTGGAGTCTGATGCCCATGTTTGAATACTAACTCCATTTTTTCACTACCCGTATTAACACTGGCAGGTTATTTAATGTTTCTAGTGGAGTCTGATGCCCATGTTTGAATACTAACTCTGTTTTTTCACTAGCTGTATTAACACTGGCAGGTTATTTAATGTCTGTAGTGGAGTCTGATGCCCATGTTTGAATACTAACTCTGTTTTTTACTAGCCGTATTAACACTGGCAAGTTATTTAATGTTTCTAGTGGAGTCTGATGCCCATGTTTGAACACTAACTCCATTTTTTCACTACCCGTATTAACACTGGCAGGTTATTTAATGTTTCTAGTGGAGTCTGATGCCCACGTTTGAATACTAACTCTGTTTTTCACTAGCCGTATTAACACTGGCAGGTTATTTAATGTCTGTAGTGGAGTCTGATGCCCATGTTTGAATACTAACTCTGTTTTTTCACTAGCCGTATTAACACTGGCAAGTTACTTAATGTTTCTAGTGGAGTCTGATGCCCATGTTTGAATACTAACTCCGTTTTTTCACTAGCCGTATTAACACTGGCAGGTTATTTAATGTTTCTAGTGGAGTCTGATGCCCATGTTTGAATACTAACTCCGTTTTTTCACTAGCCGTATTAACACTGGCAGGTTATTTAATGTCTCTAGGTCTCAGTTTCCCATCTGCAAAATGGGGGTAATGAAAGTACTAATCTCATATGTCTAATATGGAGATGTACATATAAGCCAGTATGTGTAAAGTGATTAGCACATGGTAAATAATATGTTTACTACATTAATATGTGAGCAAATATACATTAAAAAGGTGTTATTTTGTGAACTTGTAAATAGTTGAAATAATGCATTCAGCTTAGGCAACCTTGTTTCAAAAAAAAAAAGTGCAAGGTTTCAGAAAAGAAGATGTACAAATGACCAATAAGCCTATATATAAAACGCTCAACATCATTTATCAAGGAAATGCCAACTAAAACCACAATATAACGTCCTTGCACACTGTTACAATGGCTAAAATTAAAAAGAGACTACATCAAATGCTGGTGAAGGTGCGGAGCAACTGCTGACTGGAATGCATCATCACTTTGGAAAATAGTTTGGCTGTATCTTATTTTAACATGTAAAAACAAGCAAACACCACCACCACCACCACCAACAACAACAACAAAAATGCTCTTATATGACCCAGCAATCTCACTACTGGTATTTATCCAAGGGAAATAAACCACATGTCCACCCAAAGACTCATACATGAATATTCACAGCAGCTTTATTCACAATACCTAATCAGGGGAGACAACACAGATGTTCATCAGCAGGTGAATGGATAAACAAATTGTGTTATCCCAATACAGACCACCGCTCAGTAATAAAGAGGAACAAACTACTGACACAAACGACATGGATGAACCTCAGAATCATTATGCTAAGTGAAAAGAGTCAGACCACAGTCTATAACGTACAGTTCCATTTCTTCAAAATTCAAAACAGACAAAAGTCATCTATAGATACAAAGCAGATCAGTGGTTGCTGCAGCCAGACGTGTAGGAGGATTGATACCAAAGGGACATATGGCAACTTTTGGGGTCACGGAAAGTTCTGTATCTTCATTGCCATGATAATCATCGTATATTATATTCATGGCATACATATTTGTTAATACCCAAAGTATATACTTAAAGTTTATTTAAATAAAAAGGTACAAAGAAAACAGAAATGAGGAAGGGAGTACAACTGCAAACAGCCAACTTTAAAAGGTGAGTAAGGAGCTCAGCACAGACCAAACCAACAACTGGGATTTTCAATGCCTCAGGTCGGCCTGGAGGCCCACAAGTGCTGTGAATGTGAAACCCAGGAACAAATCTCCTGGGTTACTCTCATGTATGTCGATGTCCCTTTCCGTCTCCCCTCTGTTTAAGAAAAAAAAAAAAGCTGAGAAGACAAACTTTAAGTTGGCCCCTCCCCTAAGACACCTAGCTACCTCCTTGGGGTGTGCAGGCCTTTGTACAATCCCCTCGCCTTGCCCCTTATGTATGGGCATGATCTGTGACTTGCTTCTAACAGAATATGGCAAAGGTATATGTCACTCCTGCCAATTACATTTCATAAAACTCCATCTTGCCATCAGATCTTCACTAGAAGCTCTTCTTGCTGACTTAATAAAGTACATGGTCATGTGGGGAAAGCCCTACCTGAGAAGGAACTGTGGGTGGTCTCCAGGAACTGTGGGTAGACTT
This sequence comes from Homo sapiens, assembly GCF_000001405.40. NCBI lineage: Eukaryota > Metazoa > Chordata > Mammalia > Primates > Hominidae > Homo > Homo sapiens. The sequence continues at coordinate 246,278,561 of NC_000001.11, forward strand.
CAGCCAAGAGCCGGCAAGAAGCCAGGGCCCTGAGTCCTACTGATGCAAGGAGATAAATTCTTTCAGTGGCCCAAGCGAGCTGGGAAGTGGCTTCTTCCCCGGATTTCCATACGAGAACACAGCCCAGCTGACACCTTGACGAGAGCTTTATGAGACCCTACATGGAGGATCCAGGTGTGTGTGGACACCTGACCCACAGAAACCATACGATTAAAAAATATATGCTGCTTTAGGCCACAAAGTATGTGATAATTCATTATACAAAATAAAAAATATAAACAGAGGAGAAGATACCTAAATGGTTAAAAAGAAAAAACAATACACCCAATAAAGTCGGCATTTTCAGAACACAAGCGCTAGGCAGAGCTGCCTGACTGTTGTCAGGATCATGCAGCAACTTCTTTAACAAGTCATGCTGCCCTGTGTTCCTTCCTGACACCATGACAGGAGCAACCACTCAAGTCCAGCATCCTCTAGGCCCTAAAGTGCTACTACATGTGACTCACAGACTTCACAACAGTTCTAAGAGCACTGGAGAACAGTACCTACTGTCCTTTAAAGCCAGGGCCTTACTCCCTTCTGTGGAGACACACACCCCTTGGCTCTAAGTGGCCCCAGTGGACATGACACAACAATCCCAAAGAGCCACTTAAGCTACAATGTAAGATTGTTGAGACCAGCCGGGCGCGGTGGCTCACACCTGTAATCCCAGCACTCTGGGAGGCTGAGGCGGGTGGATCACCTGAGGTCAGGAGTTCCAGACCAGCCTGGCCAACATGGCGAAACCCCATCTCTACTAAAAACACAAAAATTAGCTGGGCATGGTGGCGCGTGCCTGTAATCCCAGCTACTTGGGAGGCTGAGGCAGGAGAATCACTTGAACCCGGGAGGCGGAGGTTGCAATGAGCCAAGATCATGTCATTGCACTCCAGCCTGGCGACAGAGTAAGACTCCTTCTCAAAACAAAAACAAAAACAAAAAAAAAGATTGTTGAGACCAATGGTTATGTGCATGGGGTTCTACTCTACAGCTAAAGAGGAAGTGGGATGCAAGACAAAGGCAGTTATTTAACCTCTATAACATATTTAGCAGGAAGCTCAAATATGCAGACTATTGAACAGGGAAGAATAGAGTAGGGAGAGAAAAGACGATAGTGTAGTACCATGGGGAAGAACAGTCCAAGAAGTGTGAATTGCTCTGCCAGGGACAGCCCTGCCTGTGACGCATCACACAACTTCTCTATAAAACAAGGCTTTATGATCCTTAAGGCGTCTTCCAGGTCTAAGAGTCTATCATTCTACATTATATAAAAATCTTTAGTTGAACAATTATAGTATCTTGGGGGGAAAGTGTACTAAGGCATCAAGAAAACAATTTTATCTGCTAAGAGTACTTACTCGTAGTAAGTAAGATTAGTATGCAGAATTCTGAGTTTAGCACACACGATGTTCTTAGGATTTGGGAGCCTAGTCTTATAAATGTGAATGCCATACATTAGGTTGCAAAGAAAAGGCCATTCATATCCACGAAGATAACAAAGGAATATATATAGTAGCATGAGGTGATTTTATTTAAAGTTTAATGTCCTCAAGTAATCATTCCATGCTCAGTTTCTTATAACTGTAACTTGGAAATATTGACATTTCATATGCAAGCTATAACTAAAACTAACTTTTCTTTATAACCAGCTAGGAAAAAAATAGGCACAAAGTATTATTTTATAAAGTCTACCAAGTAACGAACATCAAAGAAATGCACATGATATAGTCAGGCTTTTTCTAGCACTTGTCAGTACAAGCCAGTTAGTGGAGTAAATCGGTTTGGCTGAAAGTCCTATGCTGCCATGCGACAGAAAAGAGAGCTAAACTATCCACATTCCATAGTTTACCTTCTGTCACTAATAATCTCCATCATCTACTTAAAAATCTTAGAGAAGCTGGGCACAGTAGCTACTTGGGAGGCTGAGGCAGGAGGATTGCTTGAGCCCAGGCGTTCGAGTCCAGCCAGTGCAACACAGTGAAATCTCCATTTCTCTCTTTAAAAGAATGTTAAAGACATCTACCTCAATTTTTGGCAATCTCCTACTGTAGCTTGAAATGTTAAAGCTTACATTTAGACTGTGCATGTCAGTTTCTATTATCATTCCACTTTACAGAGAATTAAAAAAACACTGTGCTTGCAACTTAAACTGGTATTAAACTGACCCCTGCTGGCCTCATCTTTTCTGTTTCTGCATTTATCAGATGCTTCAAGAGCTAACTGCATTCTATAGTTCAACCTATATTTGATCAGGCTGCCACCTCAAAAACAAAACGTGGGACAAAGATGGCTAGTTGTACCAAATTCCAAATGGAAGGATGCCTTCCTCAGACCTTTGTCTATTTTATTTGCAAAAACCTAGCAATTAAAATCACACTAATATTCCAAAGAAGTATCTCCTATAGCCTATGAATTTATTCTAAAACCTAATGCACTCAATAGACATTTACAGATTTCTCAAAGACTGCCGGGAAATAAAGATTTTTCTAATCACAGCACCTGCCCTCCAGGTACTTACAGGCATTTATGAGTCATTGAAAAGATACATCTGAGAATTCAATTCTAGCATATCATTGGACACCACACAGGTGAGAAGGAAGTGGGGTCCCCATTCAGCCCGTGGTAGAGCCTGCCTCACTGGTGCCAGGTCACTTGAGATTCGTTACTGAAATGGCCCAGGACAATGTGTTCTCTTCCTTCTTTGTGAACTCACTGTGCTTTATGAATTATAATGGCTGCCATTGATTGGCAACCTACTATGTGCCAGAGACTACTACAGTTAGGTGCTTTCCACACACTATCACATTTACCCTACTCAGTAACTCTGTGAGATAGGTGATTTTATGCTCAAGCTTGTATCATGGGTGAGTAAAGCTCTGTGAGAATACTGATCATATCATACCGCAATGTTTTTCCTTTAAAGAGATGTTTCTCCTCTAAACAACAGCAAACACCTTAAGCACAGGAAATTACGTTATTGTCATCTCTGTATCCTCAGAACCTCATATACCTCAGTAAAGGCACATAGTAGGCACTCTAAAAACATCTGCAAAACATACAAATGAAAATATTATTGAAAGAATGTAGCTACTAAATACATACTATGGGCATAACCTATGCTTAGGCACTGAGAAAACAGTGGAGGAAAAGAAAGAAGAGGCAAAGGCTTTGATTCCTGAGCACAGACACCCATACGTGACTATGGAAAGAAAAGGAGAAGTTCCAAGACATAAGTAAACAGAATGCTATGTCAATACAGCTCATACTACCAGTCAGCTCAAAATCAAACAGAAAAAGGACTCCTAAATCAGAGGACAATGACACACTGGTGCTGGGCTATTGGAAATGAAACCTATTAAAGAGGAAAAAAGAGAGAGGAGGTAGAATGTCATTAAATTCCTTTCTGTTTTTGTAACATATCTACAAGACCAAATGATGTGAAAAATAGTTCTGCAAGACGGGGACTATGTGAATCCAGTTTTAAAGGTCCAAATATGTATACTTTACTTATATAGATCATGGCATAGTAGGAAAGACAGAAGATCATAAAAACAAATATAATGTAGAGGTCTAAAAATTGTTTCCTGGTCAGGTGCAGTGGTTCATGCCCGTAATCCTAGCACTTTGGGAGGCCAAGCCAGGAGGACTGCTTGAGCCCAGGAGTTTGAGACCAGCCTGGGCAACATGGCAAGACCCTCATCTCTACAAAAAAAAAAAAAAAAAAAAAAAAAAAAAAAAAAAGCAAAAAAATTAGCTGGGGGTGGTGTTGCCCACCTGTAGGCCCAGCTACTCAAAAGGCTGAGATGGAAGGATCGCTTGATCCCAGGAGGTCGGGGCTGCAGTGAGCTGTGGGCCAAGGTGGCGTCACTGTGCTGCAGCCTAGGCAACAGGGCAAGACCCTGTCTCAAAAAAATTAATAATAATTTTAAAAAATAAAATTATTTGTTCCAAAAAAAAAAAGCTGCATGTATTTTTCTTTTCTTTTGCTTACCTATCATTATTTTTCCACATCTCTTTTCTTGGTACTTCAGACAGATGAAGATAAATGAAGCACAGTAGTTAACTTCTTTGTTTGGATACAAAAAATCTTCTGTATCAACAATATTGTTATGCAAGCACTTTAAATGTTGCTTCTAGCAGATGAGACTTCTGCTTCAACATATGTTATGGGGAAAAATGATAAAAATTTATTCATGACTAGAATAACTGAACAGTCAACAAAATCTAACTAGAAAATGTAATAAATCAACCTGGTTTGTTGCAGTTGTTAATTATCTAAAGTAAACTGAAGATCCAGTCTCTCACTCCAAACAAGAATAAATAATCCCAGATTCTCAGCACTGTCAATACTTTCTATATCATCCTACCACTGCTGCAAACTTCTTCCTTCAGAGTGATCGGAATTTAACTTCCTCTGCCTGCACCTTCCCTGAGACAGGAAAAGCCACAAAAGAAATAAGGAGCTCTAAAGGTTCTTCTGCTCAACAATGGCACCTTAAAAATCTAAAACTTACTGAGGGAGCATGTAACCCCCCATAGAAAATAAAACAGTGGTCAAGCTTTTGGGATCTGGACTCAGGGTGGCTTGGGTTCACACCACAGTTCTACAAATGTAATCTTGGGCATGTCATCTACTTTCCTAAGCCAGAGATAATAACATTGCCAAGAGTGTAACAGTGAGTGATCATATGCACAGAGCTTAGCATTTTACCTGGAACCTATGTGTTTCATGAGCATGAGCTATTGCCATTATTACATCCCCTTTGCTACATCCCTCCCAAAGTCCTACCATCGACTCGCAATCTGAACAAAGAGAAAGGACCTCAAAATCCTTACTCTGGCTAAACTGGGCTTTAAATGTGTCAGATGTGTCCATCTTGCTTTCCTTCCTCACCACCCCTGCCTGCCAATAATCAGAGCCATGGAAAAGCTTCCCTTGCTCATGCATAAATAACGTCCTCATTCATATATACCTGTGTATGTTTAATTACAGTAACTAGAGGTCTCAAAATAACTCATATGGTTCTAATTTCAAATATTTAAAGCTCTTAATGACACTTGCTTCTGTGAGACCAGAAGAAATATAATTGCCACAGCGATAACATCTAAAGCCCAAGATCATTTCTCCCAGAACTTATAGCACTCACAGAAATCGACCAGGATCTGCTTGCAGTATCTTTTAGAATTTCTGTCTCCCACTGACACAACCGAGTCATAAACAAAAACTGCAGCACTTGCCAGCTTTCACAGCCCATGACAACTGTGAGTTACACACAACCTTCAGGTACACCATTCACCCTAATAACTGATTTCAAAATAACAAAAGGAAGTCAAGCATTTAAATGTAGCACATTAATATTTGACTAAAATAGCATATCAACCAGTAGAAAAATCAAACAAGGTAAATTACTCATGAAAGAAGAACTACATGAATTTCTCAGAAACGAAGTCTTGCTGGAGAGGTACATGCCATGTCACTTGCAACCAAAAGTACTTCCTCAGAGCCAATATCAAAAGCACCGGTGAGTATGCTGCAAAACGGCATAGCAGGCTGTCAGATGCTGCATATCAGCTACTTGAGCAGTTAGATTAAGCTTTCCCAACAGGCAAGTGCTGCAGTACTTCTGCATCTAGCATCTGGTAATGTGTTGCAAACGCAGAACAAAGAAAGCAGCAGGCTCCGAAATCTTTCAGCTTTCCTTTGACCATCTGCAGCACTTAAACACTTCAGGGTTACCAGGTCAGCAACGTGAATTCTCTCAATACCATGAAACATGAGCAAAATTTCCATTCTCTGAGGTTTCTAATTCTTTTCTTTTTCTTTTTTTTTTTTTTGAGACGGAGTCTCACTCTTTCGCCCAGACCAGACTGCAGTGGCTTGATCTCGGCTCACTGCAAGCTCCGCCTCCTGGGTTCACGCCATTCTCCTGCCTCAGCCTCCTGAGTAGCTGGGACTACAGGCACCCGCCACCACACCCGGCTAATTTTTTGTATTTTTAGTAGAGACGGGGTTTCACCATGTTAGCCAAGATGGTCTCGATCTCCTGACCTCGTGATCCGCCCACCTCAGCCTCCCAAAGTGCTGGGATTACAGGCATGAGCCACCGCGCCCAGCCTCTAATTCTTTTATTTTTCTTTACTTTTTCTGATTGTATTGAGATAATCAAATGATTTTTCTCCTTAAGGGAGTATGGTAAATTGTATTAATAGGTTTCTAATGTGAAACCAGCCTTACATTATTGGAAGAAAACACAATCTGGTCATGTTGCTTTTAAATTATTTGCTGGATTCAGGTTGCTAATATTTTATTTAGGATTTTAAAAACTCATGTTTACTAGTGATATTGACTAGTAACTGCCTTTCCTTTTTTTTTTTTATTTCCATAGGTTTTTGGGGAACAGGTGGTATTTGGTTACATGAGTAAGTTCTTTAGCGGTGATTTGCGAGATTTTGATGCACCCATCACCCGAGCAATATACACTGAACCGAATTTGTGGTCTTTTATCCCTCACCTCCCTCCACCCTGTCCCCCAGGTCCCCAAAGTCCATTGTATTATTCTTATGCCTTTGCACCCTCATAGCTTAGCTCTCACTTATGAGTGAGAACACACAATGTTTGGTTTTCCATTCCTCAGTTACTTCACTTAGAACAACAGTCTCCAGTTGCATCCAGGTTGCTGCAAATGCCATTAATTCATTCCTTTCTATGGCTGAGTAATATTCCATCATGTATATATACCACAATTTCTTTATCCACTCATTGACTGATGGGCATTTGGGCTGGTTCCATATTTTTGCAATTGTGAACTCTGCTGGTACAAACATGCGAGTGCAAGCCACATGCAGGAGAATAACTGGATCCTCACCTCTCACCTTATACAAAAATCAACTCAAGATGGATTAAGGACTTAAATCTAAGACCTGAAACTATAAAAATGCTACAAAAAAAAAAATTGGAAAAACCCTTCTAGACACTGGCTTAGGCAAAGACTTCATGACCAAGAACCCAAAAGCAAATGCAACAAAAACAAAGATAAATAGATGGGACTTAATTAAATTAAAGAGTTTTGGCATGGCAAAAGGAACAGTCAGCAGAGTAAACAGACAACCCACAGAATGGGAGAAAATCTTCACAATCTATACATCCAACAAAGGACTAATATCCAGAATCTACAAGAAACTCAAACAAATTAGCAAGAAAAAAACAATCTCACCAAAAAGTGGGCTAAGGATACGAATAGACAATTCTCAAAAGAAGATATAAATGGCCAGCAAACATATGAAAAAATGCACAACCTCACTAATGATCAGGGAAACAAAAATCAAAATCACAATGCAATACCACCTTTCTCCCGCAAGAATGGCCATAACCAAAAAAATTTAAAAAAAATAGAAGTTGGCATGGATGCTGTGAAAAGGGAACACTTCTACACTGCTGGTGGGAATGTAAACCAGTACAACCACTATGGAAAACAGTGTGGAGATTCCTTAAAGAACTAAAGTAGAACTACCATCCAGCAATCCCACTACTCGGTATCTACCCAGAGGAAAAGAAGTCATTATATGAGAAAGACACTTGAGGTTTCTGATTCTAAAGTAAAACCTCCATCCCACAAAAAGCTTAATAAAGGATAATAACAAAACCTTGCTTTGCCAGCACTTTTGTTTAAATTTTTGTTTTTAAGTTCCAGGATACATGCGCAGGATGTGCAGATTTGTTACATAGGTAAACACAGCACTTTTTTTTTAATCTGACAAATCACAAATCACCACACAGCTCCCATCAATGCCTCTTAAAAACAAATATTTTCCACTGTCTTAGGGAAGTCCCAATTTCTTTAAAATTCATCATACAAATTATTTCCTCAAGTTTTCACTCAATGAAAATTCCTGAGTATAACACAAGACTGACATTAGTTCTGTACTCAAACTCTCAGAAAATTAGTGCTAGTTTTCTACAGACTCCCTGAAGGTCTTTTTAAAAATTTTTAGAAATTTGTATGTAGTAATGACTTGCCAATATAAATGTAATACAGAGACACTGTTTTTGTTCATCTTTGTATATCCACCTAGTATAGGGCATGGCACATACCAGACACTCAATATTTATTAACTAAAGAGTACGTAGGTCTGCTGCCTCTCAAATATTTGATAATCAGACTTTTGAATTCTAAATTTCAAGTGGAGAAATTTTCTCCATTGACCATCATTATAAAACTGTAGTGGTATATCTTTGGAAAATATATGACCTCAAGATATAATAAAAAAATCTTTTTTTTTGTTTTTTTTTTTGAGACAGTCTTGCTCTATCATCCATGTTGGAGTGCAGTGACGGAATCTCGGCTATTGCAACCTCCGCCCCCTAGGTTCAAGCAGTTCTCATGTCTCAGCCTCCCGAGTAGCTGGGATTACAGTTGTGCGCCACCAGGACCGGCTAATTTTTTGTATTTTTAGTAAAGACAGGGTTTCACCATGTTGGCCAGGCTGGTCTTGATCCCCTGGCATCAAATGATCCACTTGCCTCGGCCTCCCAAAGTGCAAGGATTATAGGCGTGAGCCACAGTGCCCAGCCTAAAATAACATTTTAAAAAACAACAATCATTTTAGAATTTCATGAATATCAATTGATCAGAAAACATTAGTGAAAGTCCAGAGTTGTTTTAAACTTAGAAAATATTTTCTAATATATATAGTTTTCGGAATAATAATTAGGTCAATGAGCTAAAGATTTCCTTTTACAGTTTCATTACAAATTTAAAAAGCTTTTGTAGTAAAAACCCATGAATGTAATCACTATTTAATAGTTTATGTTTTCTAAAAATGTGTTTGGCATTCCATCTGTTAAGTTAGGACTCCAGAAGAACTTACCGCTATGTCCAAACTGGGTTGGAGGGGGACAAGCTGGGTTTAAATTGCGTTTCTTTCACTTGCTAGGTGACCTTGGGCAAGTCATACTAAACCTCACTTTGCCTATTACCACATCTCTAAGATGGACATAGAAATACCAAGTTTTGGGAATACTATTCTTGAAGTATAGTAATTAGATTTGGGGGGGTTTTGTGTGGTTCCTTACACCTGACCCTGTCTCTGTTTTGGCCAGGGGCATCCATCTGCCTACGGGATATTCAGGTTTATGGAAACAGGAATACAAAGAGAAAGACTCAGTGTTCAATTATGACACCTATAAATCAATATTTTCAGTCAACAAGCAAAATTCTTGACAGCCAAGCTTTGTCAAGAGAAAATGTGCTTTCTAAATTCCTAAAACACTAATTTTTAAAATGAGGGCTGAAAACGGAATGAGAAGCTCACCTTGCTTCCATGAGCACAGCTGCAGGGTAGAACCACCTAGGAAGGCCTTGGAACGTTACACGGCCTGGGGCCCCCACCCCCAGACACTTAGATTGGTCTGGGCTCAGGAACTCAAGCATTGGCAAGTTTTTGAAATGCCATCAGGTAATTCTTTTTTTTTTTTTTTTTTTTTTTTTTTTTGAGATGGAGTTTCACTCTGTCACCCAGGCTGGAGTACAGTGGTGCAATCTCAGCTCACTGCAACCTCCACCTCCCAAGTTCAAGCGATTCTTCTGCCTCAGCCTCCTAAGTAGCTGGAATTACAGGTGTGTACCACCACGCCTGGCTAATTGTTGTATTTTCAGTAGAGACGGGGTTTCACCATGTTGGTCAGGCTGGTCTTGAACTCCGCCATCAGGTAATTCAAATGTGCAGCCTGGATTTAGAACCGTAGCTCCACAGAGAAGCTTCTGGTTTGGTTCAAAACTACGATCCACACACAACAGGAGGGAAAACCCAGAAGTGGCCTCCTGGTCCCCTACAGCCCCATGCGTATGTTATGCAGTGGATCCTGAGCTTTCCTGTGACCCAGTGGGGGTAATGCAGAGACTAAGACTCCCCAGAGTGGAGAGATGGCAAGAATAAAAGCTAAGGCTAGTCCAGGCACAAGACTAGATAAACCAACCACCTGGGGCAGAAGAGAATCAGGACCAGTCTGCAGTCTTGCTCCCATTGCCATGGAAGGACAAGGAGGGGAAAATGCAAAGAATTGAGCATTTATCTGAAAAAAAGACAAGCTACCCAAGGACTTTAAACTACAAGAAACAGAAGCACCATTAAGGGGTAAGTTTGTCCAATCATGTACATTCCTTACTTAACTGCTTCCCCAGATGGGCTGAGGTAAGAAAATGTAGTTCAATTATAAAATATTTAAAAGCCTGGCCAGGCACGGTGACTCACGCCTGTAATCCCAGCACTTTGGGAGACTGAGTTGTGTGGATCACCTGAAGGTCAGGAACTTGAGACCAGCTTGGCCAACATGGTGAAACCCTGTCTCTACTAAAAATACAAAAAATTAGCTGGGTGTGGTGGCGGGCACCTGTAATCCCAGCTACTTGGGAGGGTGAGGCAGGAGAATCGCTTGAACCCAGGAGGCGGAGGTTGCAGTGAGCCAAGATTGCGCCACTGCACTCCAGCCTGGGCAACAAAAGCAAAACTTCGTCTCAAAAGAAAATAATAATCTTAAAAAGCGATTGTTAATTAAAATTATCCAAAACATGAAAAAAGAAAAAGATTAGGGAGCTGTGTGGCCTTCTCATATTACTCTAGAGCACTGTTTCACAGCTTCACCCAAGGATTATTTAATTCCCTAGAAGAATGCCAATGCATTTGACTTTGTTACTTGCTGTTAGAGCACAGATAGTGTGAAACTACAACGTTAGCTTATAGATTTCTGTCCAGCAGAAAGGATAACTCTAAAAACTGTGGTTTTAGTGCATGCAGAACGTCACCAGTTTTGTCTCCAATCTAGCAATCTTATTCTAATGCCTAAAGATCAGTTCCTTCAGTACTCTGGACCTGCATTAACTCTGCCTGGTTTCCTCATTAATAAGTTAATACATCTTTGGCATTTCGTTTTGTATTTCTGTGAGAGTCAGGTTTTAACTTTTCAAAAAATTTACTTTGATAGTATATTTTCTTTGCATGACTGGTAGTGTATGTAAATCTACCACTCACTGACACTGATCTCAGTGGACATTTTATAAGATAATTCGACTGCTTGGTGCAGTGCATGGCACTTGGTAAATGCTCAGTAAATGTTACTGTTCGTGGGTGCTAGTGGCTAGAGGAGATTTTACCTGCATCTAACAGTAACCATGAACTCACCAATGGAGGTCCACAACCATAATCCAGGGCAACCCCGGGTAAGTGGATACACAGACTTCCTCAGTAGGGACTATTCCCATATATCATAAATATAGGGAGCCACTCTGCTCAAAATAATTCCCAAACTATCAACACAGACAGTACGACTCACTTGTATATATTTATCACGAGTGTGTGGGCCTGTGAGGAAAAAACTATCATAACTTAGCAAAATCAGAAAGTACACAGATCTAAAAGAAGCCATCTCCTTGGCGACCAAAAGTATGCTGCTCCATACTTAAAGGAATCTTCAAATGATGTTCAAATATATGATGACAGGAGAAACAGCAACACAGCAAAATAACTACATTAGCATATGAAGAGAGGAAATTGGACTGGGGAAGACCTGAGAGTTTTCCAGCAAAAACTGGAGAAAAGGGAACTAAACCATCTACATTCCATAGTTCATCTTCTGTCACTAATAGTGATTATTATCCACTAAACTATCTAAACTTTTGGCCAATTTCTACTGTCGCTTGAAATTTTAAAAGCTTCTTTTTGGACTGTTCATTTCAGTTACTGTTCTCATTTCACTAGACAAGAGAAGCCCTGAAAACCCTAGTAAAGCTATCAGGGAAGAGATATATGGTTAATTTCTTAAATTATGAACTCCTTAAGTATGACTTCTCTACAAAAAGTTTCTTCATCAATGAAGTGCACCTGTAAAAACCATTCCTTGTCTAACCTTGAAATTGGCCTGTAACTTCAAGGCTTAACTTTCGAGTGTGAGAGTTTCAGACACATCAACATATTTTCAAGGCCATAAACACTGGGTAATTTTTCATGCTCAAGTGTCTGGAGTTTCGTTTTCCTAATATCAATAAGCAATATCACAACTAGCAAGGCAGAAGGAATAAAAGCACCTCAGCCTCTCACAATGAACTGAAAAACCCTATATTCTTTCCTTTTTTTTCCTTCACATCCCATTTCTTTTACCTTGCCCAGCTGGTGGAAAAAAATCTAGCTTCCTTCTGAACTAAACACACATAATTAAATACACACAATCTTAATTTACCACACTGATGTCTTCATCATCAGCTACCCTAGCACCATTTCAAAGCAGCAGAAAGAAATATAATAATTTATAAGCCAGCTCCTGAGGTTATATATTTATTTTAAAACATGCCAGTTTCAACAATATAAAATGCTTTCCCATGTTTAAAAAACAAGACTATTTGTTACCTTGTGATGGGACAATTAAACAAGCTTTTAAGCGTGATAAAAAAAAAAATACATAGGTTAATAAAGTAGTCTTGATAAAAACAAAGCAAAGATTTGAAAACATTGGTATTTCCATAACCTACAGAATACTGATGACTAGATGGTCAAGACAAGCATCAGTTACAAATTATGTATACAGCTTGCTAACAAATTAGGGAAACGTTCCCCTCTGGTTTCTTTCCCGACTACTTGTAAAATAATATTCGCATACAAATTTGCAATTCAAATTTGATGTCTTATGAGTGCATTTTGCAGATCATGCTCTGAGAAGGAAGAGAGTGAGCTAAGAGTTGCATGGAAAGTATAATTTGCTGCTGGCTTTTAGCCAGAAACACTAGACCAAATGTTTATGGAGACCACGAGGCACCTAAGCAAGCCCAGTGCATCTGGACTTCTCAATACTAGTTGTTGCTATTTATTTATATGTTAACCTCCAAATAAAAGGTCAAATAGAGTAATATCTACATTACACATTCATACATTTTAAAATATATTTATTTTACTTACACAGTACAGGAAAGGAAGTGATTTGCCGTCACTTTGAGAACACTTGCAATAGCAATGACAAGAAAAACCAGTAATTTAAGCAACACTAATAACCATATGTCTGGACCTATGTTCAACTGTAATTTACACATTAAGTATAAGCTTTTATTTTCATACTTGAGAAAACATGCCAGGTATTCAGTATTTATAATCATAGTTAACTTGCAGAATGAGGAAGCTAATTACAGTAGAAAGAAGAAAATATTAGCCTTGGGAAAATATGAATTTGACGATCACACAGGTAGGTAGTAAAGGAGCCATTTCTACCTCCCATGACCAATGCAATACACCAGCATCTTAGACTTACTATCCAACACACCAGCATCTTAGACTTACTATCCAATACACCAGCATCTTAGACTTACTATCCAACACACCAGCATCTTAGACTTACTATCCAACACACCAGCATCTTAGACTTACTATCCAACACACCAGTACCTTAGACTTACTATCCAACACACCAGTACATTAGACTTACTATCCAACACACCAGCATCTTAGACTTACTATCCAACACACAAGCATCTTAGACTTACTATCCAACACACCAGCATCTTAGACTTACTATCCAACACACCAGCATCTTAGACTTACTATCCAACACACCAGCATCTTAGACTTACTATCCAACACACCAGCATCTTAGACTTACTATCCAAAACACCAGTGCCTTAGACTTACTATCCAACACACCAGTACCTTAGACTTACTATCCAACACACCAGCATCTTAGACTTACTATCCAATACACCAGTACATTAGACTTACTATCCAACACACCAGCATCTTAGACTTACTATCCTACACACCAGCATCTTAGACTTACTATCCAACACACCAGTACCTTAGACTTACTATCCAACACACCAGCATCTTAGACTTACTATCCAATACACCAGTACCTTAGACTTACTATCCAATACACCAGTATCTTAGACTTACTATCACTGTCAAGTATTAAAGCAGATATGATCACTATATGGATAAATATATTGCTAATAAAAATCCACTCCAACATACCAGTCACTCCAGCACAGCACAATATAAATTTTGTAGGGATATGCTGCAGTAAACCATGTGACACAGTAAAAGGAATGACACATTACAAGCTTCCCTTAAACAGAAGACCATGAACACGTATTGCCAACCTATTACTTGAGAGCATTTGGGGGCAAAAGAGTCATGCTGAAATTGGAGTCTCTGCAAAAGGAACACAAAGGGCTGAGCAAACAACAGGAAGCTTAGGCAGGGAGCATGGCAGACACTGAAAAAACATAAGGAAAGGGTCAACATATAGCCATGTTCAAGAACATAATTTTAGTTAATGCTAAGTATTAAGACTGAAAACTGAAACATGGGTTGGGAAAAATTGCTGATGAAATCAAGGAAGATCACAAAGAATCATTCCAAACCACCATATTTGGTGGGTAAATGTATCTGTACTGTAAAAACACTGTACCATAAAAAACAACAACTAGATCATGTATGATGCTATTCCATACATGGTGGTAATTATGAGGCCAATTTGCATCTCCTCACCGAGAAAGGATTGTGAATCCCCAAACTACATCATATCACCCCCTAAAGAATGTTATGGGTCCCTGACCTAGTGGATGATCTCTCCCTCTCTCCATGAGGCCCCAGCACTGACAGATATCTTCTGAACTATATTTGGTCATGTAGTCTGAACAACAAATCATTCGCTTGCTACCTCATCTACATGTATTATGTACTTGGATGTTTTGCTGGCACCCTAGAGATCTGGAGCTTTTAGAAGGCTACTTTACCATAGGTGTGGTAAGTGTGATCAATATATACCTTTAATTAAACTGTAACTTATTTTAAGCCAGTATCAGAAGGCAAGTTAAAAAATTAGAGGACTGTAACTTCTAAGTAGTATAACACGCACATTAGCATTCACCCACGTGCTTCCACTTTTGCAGACATGGAGCAAAAGCAGCCCTCCTGCTAGTGAGACTACTCCAAGAAAACCCCTCCCCCGGCACAGTGGAAAAACCCACGACAGTCTCAGAAGAAGAGCGTCTATCCCAGGATTCAAGGTTAATTCCTTTGCTCTCACCTTCTCAGAAATATCACTTCATCATTAATAACCCTTTTGCCCACTTATCTTTAAATCTTCATCTTTGCTGGCTCACACATTCAAATCTCTTCAAAACAAAAAAACAGAACCAAAAACTCCACACTCCTAATTAGTGCCCTATTCTTTTCTTCTATTCACAGTCAGGTTTCTCAAAATGATCAAGCACTCATGACTCTAAGGTGCTCTAGCAAAGCTCACCAAAGGATTCCCTATTATTGAACTCAATGAACCTTTTCAGTCCTCACGTTAACTGACGTCTCTGCAGCACTTGAAGCTGTTGACCTCCATGAAGTGCTTTTTCTCCCTTGGTTTCTATGATATCTTTCTCTCCAGGTTTTCCTCCCACTTTACTCCCTCTCAGTCGCCTTTGCTGGCTTCTCTTTTTCAGCTTGCCCCTTAAATGTTCCTGTTCCAAAGTGTTCCATCCATGCTGCTCCTATTTTCTTTTCTACCTACCCTCTC
The DNA here is from genome assembly GCF_000001405.40 of Homo sapiens. Taxonomy (NCBI): domain Eukaryota; kingdom Metazoa; phylum Chordata; class Mammalia; order Primates; family Hominidae; genus Homo; species Homo sapiens. The sequence goes on from NC_000001.11 coordinate 246,294,150, forward strand.
CCTACATTCCTTCCACCTCCACAGCATTAGCCATCATCTGTATACTCTAGAGAATGTCTTCCTCATTTCTAAATACCGGCGTCCCCAGCACATAGCACTCACTCAGTAAGGTCAGATGAAAGCCTGATGAATGATAGACAATTACAGAAGCAACCAGGGCCCACTATGTTGCAGAGTTAGCTTTAGCAAATTCTAATTTCTTGACCAGATTAAATCTATCTACAAATGGTCAGTCTTACTGAGGGCTGACTACCATTGCCTGTAAGTGTTCAGCTAAGTGTTCATTTAGTCAACAAATATGCAGTGCCTGCTATGTGTCAGCACAGTGCCTACTATGTGCCAGCTACATGATAGGCCAAAGAATTCGTGGAGAAAGCCCTGAAAATAGAAACAGACAACTCTTTCTGAGTCCATGTATACATCTGTGTGTGATCTGGGCAAACCAATTAAGCTTCCTTTTTTTTTTTAAGACAGAGTCTTACTCTGTTGCCCATGTTGGCGTGCAGTGGTGCAATCTCGGCTCACTGCAACCTCCACCTCCCAGGTTCACATGATTCTCCTGCCTCAGTCTCCCAAGTAACTGGAATTACAGGCACCCACCACCTCGCCCAGCTAATTTTTGTATTTTTAGTAGAGACATGGTTTCACCATGTTGGCCAAGCTGGTCTGGAACTCCTGACCTCAAGTGATCTGCCCACCTCAGCCTCCCAAAGTGTTGGGATTACAGGCATGAGCCATCGTGCCCGACCCAATTAGCCTTTCTGCCTACAAATGTCTTCATATATAAGGTGAGAATAATATATCTATTTTACAGGGTTACTGTGGAGGTTACATGAGATAATACATAAATCTAATATGTTGCATATTACTTATGTCTGTTATTCACTGTGAATAATATGTAATAATAAATATTTTATGTACTCCTTTGTTAAAACAAGCTTATAAGACAAGTTAAGGCAGGAATTAGTATTCCCACTCAGAATACTAATTCTATTAGTATTCTAATAGCAGCACCAGAACCTAAGCAATCTCCCCAAGCCCACTCACGCAGTCCCTAGGTGGTAACGTTCTTTAGTGTCAGAGACCAAACTGTGATTCTCTTTACTTAGTATCTCTTACAGATCCCACTGCTGCCCAGCAGCATAAAAGATCCTACCCAGAAAAGGGTCTACAGTTGAGAAGCCAAAGGTCCTAAGATAGTAGCCGAGGAGTTGATGAGCAAACAAAGTGTTTGTTTTCTTAATAAAGAAAAACAGTTTTCTGCTTGGACACAGTGTAATTCCAACTATAAGAGGCAGCATAATGTTTTCAGTCAGGGAAAGGTCTCCAATTTCATAAGTTTTGATTTAACAAGAAGATTCTAATATTAAAAACTGTCAGGTTGCCACGGTAACAATCTATTTGCAATCAAGATGCTGGTGGTATTCTGTTATATTTCTCTCAAGGAAAAAGTAAACTAGATGTAGCCAAGGAATTTAATAAAAGTATCTGTTGGACCAAAACCAAGATATGACTGTTTTTAGGCAATATGACAGGATTTAAATATACAGCAAGAGACCCTCAGGTTACAATACCAGTTCCATCAATAAAATTAAAAGATTTTGACCTTGACACCAGTACAAGCTATAGCCATATGATCTGGAAATCTGAATCCTCTGAGCAAGAAAAATAAATCGTTAAACAATTGAGATGACAGGCATGGGACAAGAAAGTCAAAATTCATCAGAAGGAGAACAAAATCAATCCCCAAGGGAGGTATGAATTATAAAGACTAAATTTCTCACAGAAAATTCAAAGGTTTGATTTGGGTGTTTTGTTCTGCTGTTGTATGTATGCATGTATGCATGCGGAGGTAGGTTTTGCACTCCAGGACATTCTTGGATGTTTTTAACTTGCTGCTTTCATCTAGAAAATGTTAGAAGGACATATTGAAAATGAACTGATTCTAGACAGGAGAGGAAGGAAGTGACTGTCAGGAATTAGGCCGCTCTGAGTCTGGACATGCAGACTATGCAGACAGAGAAACTTCCTCCACAACCACCGAAGCCTCAGTCACGCCCATGAAAATCACATGGATTTTCTCTACAGTTAAGACTTTTCAAGTACTTGTTTCTACAACGATTCAAGAAATGGTAACACTTGCCCCCACAACTTTAGCCATGAACAACTCATTTCTCTTCAATGTGTTAATAACTTTACAGAACTGTATATGCATGCTGAATGTCTAGAATGACAACCAGAATAAAAACTGCAACTCCTTTGGCTTCGACAATAAATTGGCTTCACAAGAAAATACCTACATTCATGACAGAAGAAACTGGCTCTTGCCTTAACCTATATAGTTAATGCAGATTTATATATAAATAACATTATATACTTTTTAGAACATATATTTTTATAAATGTATATTTATATACAAAATAACTAAATTATTTTCTGAAACAGCCTTGAACATTGTGTGTAATCTCATTTTCTGTAAGTCATTTTCCTTCTACTTTCTCTATAAAATTGGAGCACTGTCCTCTACCCCTCCGAAAAGACATTTGTTAAAATCACAGTGAAGGTTCAGCATACCTTAGAAAATCAGACATTTTAAATTCTATGAAGTTCAGACAAAATATTAATACAATATGATATTCCTATTTAAATAAACTCCTATTTAAGTGATTAATGAATCATTTATGTATTATTGTACTATACTTAGTACAGATAACATATTTTTGTTGAGATAGCGTTCTTAAAGATCACAGAGATTCTGAAAATGCTTCTAGGTTGAGGAACTTAGGTAGAGGAAGCTAACAATCGATGAATACAATAAAGGAAACTCATGAGTGATAGAGATTTGAGGAAAGTGCTAGATAATCATCCAGACTTTAAATAGTTTGGGCAATGATTCAGGGACATAAATGGCCAGCAGTTAGAAATAGAGTTGGAACTCAGGAGGGGGCTCTGACACAGAGACAAAAATTTACTCATTCACAATTAAGTAATAGTTGAATCTATTTAGAAAAACAATGTGAAAAAGAAAGTAAGAAAGAGAAACAAGGACCATCTTTGAGAGATGCCAACATTTAAAGATCCATGGAGGTGAAACAAACAAGGTGACAGAGGTATCTTCAAAGTCATAAAAGAGGAGTTTCATTAAGGAAACAGTCAACAATATATGCCTCAGAGGAGTCAAACAGGACACAGAAAGAGAACAAAATACTGTATTCAACATTTAGGATGTAACTAGTTACGTGAGTGAATTCACTTCAGTACGGTAGTAGAGGCAGCAGCTAGCCTACAATGGGTTAATGAGTTAGCAGGGAAACAACGCATCCAAGAATTTGTCTTATATTCTAAGATCAAGAACCCTCAACGAACAAAGGTAAGTGATTCAGGCTTACATCATAACCCTTCCTAAGTTAAAAGGACAAGAGCATTTGTTCAATAAGGACAGAACCTGAAATTACTGGCTTGTAATGAAAACGTTTTTAACCCTAAACAAGAATAAATTTCTTGACTAGAATATTTTTCTGATGCATCAAATGTCAAATATTCAATTATTCTGATGTATAAATACCAGAGATTCACTGTATTGACCAGAGAATGCTATGAATCTACCCAAGATTCACAATACTTTTCAATTAAATTAAGCAATTTTTCCTTCTAAGACTTCCATTTCAGTTCTAAATATGTGTTATCTCCATTCATCCTTGTCTCATAGGACAATGATCTTCATATTTTAGAGGTAGACAGCTTTACTCTTTGGTTTCTGTTAACAGGACATCTTGAATTTAATTGCCAATGTTATTTATGAATTATAACTGTAAGAGTGCTTTTCAGTATGATGAATATTCCATCATCTTTAATTTTTATGAGATGCTTAAAATGAAGGGGGATGGGACAGTCTAGCTGCTCTTTTCCTCTCTTGCTACACCCTCTTCTGGAAAGACAATAAACAACATAAGCTTTTTCCTTTGTCTATATAAACCTGCAGGTTCACAGACAGTGCCACTTGTCAACAGCTAAAGAGAAATAAGAAAAGAACTTCAGAAGGGGAAACATTCATAAAGAGCAAGAGCACACTGAGGTAAAAAAATAATAATAATAAATAGAAGCTATTACAGCAGGAAAAAAAGAATAAAACATAAGTGCATACTAATATCAAGAACTACAAAGGTGGCAAATTGAAATAATCTAAATACTGAATATTAATTTTTTTCTATGACCAAAATCATATTAAAGCTTACAAACCCAACCTAATGCCTAATGAACTCATTTAAGTTCAAAGTACATGAATGTAAAAGAAAGCTGAATATAAAGAGGCTATCTTGTGTTTTCAATACAATTTAAGTGTTATTATAGGAGCTGCCACATTTGTTCCCAAGTATCCCTTCATAAAATATCAGAGACAAGATGGAGGTTTTGTACTAATAAAGTAAAAGGTATACTTCCACCAGGTAAAAACTTTCTGGACCTAACAGCTTTAAAAATAAGATTGTACCAAAAGCTATCTTTATATAATGATGATGACTGGACCATCAAGAATATGCAACACTCCCTGTATATTATACTTCATCATATAAAGAAGGAACAGCTCTACTTTTAAAAGCCAGAGAAAATGTCTAGGTCTGCCTAGAACTGTCATGGCCTTAAAAATTTCATGGGGAAAAAAAAGAGTCAAAGTCTCATGGTTTTATTATGCAAAACTTCATGATTTCAAACCCACCAGAATCAAATAACTAAAAAATGAAAATGAAAATTACAAAGAGGCATTACTTATATCACTTTTAAGATTGGCAAGGATGAAAAAGAGTAACAGTATCCCGTACTAGCAAGGCTGTGAGTAAGCAAGCAGTGTTCTTGTATAGGGTTGGTGGAGTGTAAATGCAATATATATTAGAGCACAACCTGGCAACATATATAAAAATGTAAAATCTGTTTCTGCAACTTCATTTCTACTAATTTATCCTATGTAAAAACCAGTTTCATATGCAAAGATAGATGTATACTGATGTTCCCTACAGTGGAAAAAAATGGAAATACTTCAATAGCGTACTGGTTCATTAAATTTTAATGTTACATGCAGCCAACAAGTGTATGAAAAAAAGCTCAACATCACTGATCATTAGAGAAATGCAAAGCAAAACCACAAAGAGATACCATCTCATAGCAGTCAGAATGGCTATTATTAAAAACTCAAAAAATAACATGTTGGTGAGGTTGCAGAGAAAAAGGAACGCTTACAAACTGTTGGTCGGAGTGTAGGTTAGTTCAACCATTGTGGAAAACAGTGTGGCGATTCATCAAAGACCCACAAACAGAGCCACCATTTGACCCAGCAATCCCATTACTGACACATACCCAAAGGAATATAAATCATTTATCATGAAGACACATGCACATCTATGTTCATCGCAGCACTATTCACAATAGAAAAAGCATGGACACCCTAAATGCCCATCAATGGTAGACTGAATTTTTAAAATGTGGTACATATGCACTGGGGAATACTAAGCAGCCATAAAAAAGGAGATGGTATCCTTTGCAAGAACATGGATGGAACTGGAGGTCATTATCCTTAGTAAACTAACATAGAATAGAAAACCAAACACCGCATGTTCTCACTTGTAAGGGAGGGCTACATAATGAGAACACATGGACACACGGAGAGGAACAACAGACACTGGGGCGCACTTGAAGGTGGAGGATGGGAGGAGGGAGAGGATCAGGAAAAACGACTACTGGGTACTAGGCTGAAAAATGACTACTAGGTACTAGGCTTAACACCTGGTGACAAAATAATCTGTACGACAAACCCTCATGATACGAGTTTACCTATAAAACAGTCCTGCACATGTACCCCTGAACTTAAAATTAAAGTTTAAAAAAAAAAAAAGTTAACAAAGTTTAACATGTTCATACAATGGAATAGTATACAACCATTAAAAAATTATACGTGGTATGCATGTAGCTGTGTATATACTAAATAAAGATATAAATGTGGACCCAACTGTTAACAGTGTTGGTCTCTAAGAAGTAAGGTTTCTAGGGTACTTGGATTTCTCATTTGTGCTTTTACTTACTTTAACTTTTCATAATGCACATAGTTTTTTTATAGACCCCAATAAACATTTCAAATGAGTGATAAAATGTATTAGCACAGTTGAAAATGCACATTTGCATGTATTATAGACAATGGCTTTTGTTGTGTTGAAGGATCAAGGGGACTTAGATGTATTAAAGGTAATGTGATGGCTGTCTATAGTCTGCTGTTGTTATTACCAAAGAGATTTCTAAAATACCCAAAATTGCCTTCTTAGGTGTACGGGTGAGGAAAGCGGCCAGCAATGTTTAAAGTATTACCTGAATGAGAATGCTATTGATCTTTGTGGTGGTGTGGGACGCCAAGGTATGAATCTGGAATTTTCAAATGCCTCTGTGCTTTCCAGGTACTAAAAACATGAACTCTAAAATTACAGACACCTAGGTTAAGGATCAGTTCTACCACTGACTAGCTATGTGGCTCTGGGCAAGTTCCTTCATCTTCCTAGGCCTCAGTCTTGTCTCCTGGAATACAGGGATAATAATAGTACGTACCCCCATAGAACTGTTGTGAAGATTTAAAATATAATATATGCAAGCCACAGTGCCTGGAATACAGCCAGTATTCAATGTTGGCTCTTATCCTTCTCAAAGCACATCAAGTTTGCTTTTTCATTACTGATTACAAAGACCTCAGGAAATCAAAGTCTGGATTTTATTGCAAGCAAAATAGAAACAAGGGATATTAACTTCAGATCAGATAATAGAAAACACCCAGCCTGTCAGTGAAGTTCATTTTCTTTCTAGAATAATGCTACCCGTCCTAAGGGTAGTTCAGCTTTGTAGAGATAGAAGTCGTCACTGATTATCAATACCAACCCTCTGACTGTGTGAAAAGTATTAAAATACTACCAGTACCAAATGTGCACATGGAAGACTAATGAAGAGCAAAACCCAAATCTGCCTATTAAGCATAAATGGGAACTTAAGGGAAAATCTGAACAAAGTCTAATGAACAAATAAAATATAAATAGACAATGAAAAAAATATTGAAACTAGTCCCCAGGACACTTCCACCATTCGACAGATTCAAATCAGCAAACATTTATTAAGCAATTCACTGCTCTCAAGAATGTTCAATTCTCGTGCAGGAGCCAAGACAAACCAATAAGTAACTGTGATAAAAGACAGGATGAGATGAGTGCTGGAAAAATTCCATAGGTGCCCGAAAGGGAGGTAGTACACTTCCTGCAGGGACAAGGGAAAACAATAAAGCTACAGTGGGAATGGTTTTCAGGTATGAGTACAAACAAGATGGCCACAAATTAAGATTGATTCACCTAGCAAGTCTGAAGTAATGAGAATATGTTTTAATAAACTGCATGCACACATTTTATACTGTCTATTGAGAGTCTGTTTTATAAGAAATATAATGTTACGTGCTATAAGGGAACACAATAACATTTCTGACATCTCCTAAGCTTTACAATCCAGCTGGGGAGCAAATTATGCATATTGTATTGTGAATTCCCCAAGGGCAACTGATGTGTCTTTTTTATCTTTCTATTCCCATCCTCTTGCACAATCCCTGCAACATCACTGGCACTAAATGTCTGGCAAATGAATAAATAAATAAGTGACTATAATACAAAGCAGAATATTATACGTGTCACTGATAATCCGTATTAGAGAAGTTTAAGAGAGGGACAGAAAGTAAGCAAGGAAGCTGCACTATTTCTGTCATCTAGCACTCACTCCTCATATTCCTCTGAAAATCATCCCTTCCTCATTATCTGTCTCTGTGATTCCTTGGAACAGACTCCCAGGGAGGACATGCGAGCTAAGGCAAGCACATAGAAATACCGCGTTTCCCTGGTTATAGCAATTGCTTCAAGAGTGCATACCTGCCCCAAGCCCCACCAGTGAAATACAATCACCACTAATCTTGGGGATTATGCTTAAGCAACAAAATAATAAGTTACTTTTCCTGTTGAATTTGGAGCTGAGAGGATGAAAACCTAGAACTTTTGGCCACTGTCTTGCCACCCTAAGAAGAAAGGCTATCAGAGAATCGAAGCAACTCACAGAAGGAAAGCCTAGCAATGGGGGGAGACCAGACCCTAATAATGTTGTTTGAGCCCCTGGCCTTAGCAATGCTAAAAGGAAGCATTTTTCAGTCATAGCCAACAAATTCCTTTTGTGCTTCATTCAATGTGGGCTGGATTTTTCTGTCATGTGAAACTGTTTTCATGAAAAGACTGAATTAGATTTCATCACTGAAAACTGCAGTGGGTTTTTAAATACAGAAGGAATTCAGGTGAAAAAAACTGTATAAACAATAAGTGAAGTAAGAAAACAGAAGACTACTTCTGTTACAATGATTTATATATATATATTTCAAGTTTAAGTTCAGATGAAGACTGAATAGAATGGGTTAGGGTTAGCTAAGTAGGCTGAGTATAGCAAATTGGACAGTTCATGCTTCACGAAGGGGTGGCTGCTACCCAGCTCAAGAAAATTACTGCGATGTGGAAACTGACCCAATATGGCCACAACTCCCAATTTTCCAACAAAAAGCTCAATCTAGACTTTACAAGAACTGGCAGGAGTTAATAGCAAAAGAATGAGTTTATAGCAACATACAGAACCAATAAGCAAGTCTATGAGGCAGGATCCAGCAGTTAGCTTTGTGACTCAGAGGTTACTTAAATGGCCAAGAAAGTAAAATCAAATCCATACAAAAGGTATGTGGACCCAAGTAAAGGTTTCCTAAACACCACAAATATGTGGGTCTTCTACGGAACACTATATGACAAGAGAAAGAAGAGAGAATTGCGGATATACAGAAAAAGCAATGGAATGAATAGCTACAGCACTGAGCTCCTAACACAACAATAGCTGAAGAGCAGACAGAGTCTATGCTCTCAAGTCAGGCTGCCTGAGTTCCTACCCAGGCTCTCCTACTTTGTTGTTCTGTGACTCCTTTGACCAAGTGTCCTCAAGTATAAAATTCTGCTAATAATAGTGCCTGCTTCACAGAGTTGCTGTGAGGAGTGCATGAGTTGATACTTATTGTGGTTGGCAGAATTTTAAGGTGGCCCCAAGATTCCTGCACCCCTGGAGTACACACTCTGTATAATAAATGAGTGCTGTTTTAAGCCACTAAGATCATACATTCCTCCCTCAGTATTGACTCTAGCACCCCTGTGGATACCAAAATCCACAGGTGCTCAAGTCCCTTAGATTACATGGCATACTATGTGCATATAGCCTGTACCTATCCTCCTGTATACTTTAAATCTATACACTTATAATACCTAATATAATGTAAACACTATATAAATTAGTTGTTATACTCTTTTTTAAATTTTATATTATTTTTATTGTACTGTTATTTTTCATTTCAAACATATTTTATTTGTGGTGATTGAATCTATGAAGAACCCAAAGATACAGATGGCTGACTGTAGTAATTTATTATGCAGCAATAGAAAAATGTGTACAGCGATAAAGTACTTAGAACACAGCTTGACACATAGGAAGCCCTCAATAAATATCAGCTATTATTATTGGATTCTATTTAAGTGTACATTCTGGTACATTTAAAATAGCATTCTAATTACAAAAATTCAGTTTGTCCATATCATGTTTGCTAGCACAGAAGATGCACAGGCAGACAGATGCATCCCAGTGATACAAAGAACTAGGGCAGGCAATTGACTAAAAAATACTTTCTACAACACGTGTATTGAGAGTGATTTTAAAGTGATTTTGTAGAAGGAAACTAATTATTGTGTTCATCTACTTTAGACTGGAATCCAGTTGGAAATAAGTTCAGGATATTCAATGATAGTCTACTAACCTAAAAACAAAATATAACATCACAAAGTTATTTGTAATACATATTGGGTCAACAAATACTTAGCAGAGAACAAAGCATAATAATTTTACTGGTAAATGAAATTATAGTTTTATGTATGTGATAGTATTAAATAAAGATACTATATTTCAGATGCTCGTAACTAAGAAAACAAGCCATAATACAAAATACATTTGCATGAACTCCTATATAGCACACGTACAAAACAAATAGTATAAATCTGTATAAAGCAGGCAGCAAAATATAATGAACTTGAAGTCATTCCCATGGACATAGCCATAATACATATAGAAATTTATTTCAGTTTAAAAAACTAGTTCAAAGCACATTGTAAAAATAATAAACATGAAAGACTTTCAATGTAATGTGTACATATGCCATAAAAGTACATATTTCTCTGAACATTAGTAAATGACCAGCAACTGAAAATATGATAAAAATAGACTTCAATGAATACATAAGCAGGAAAAAAAATAGAGAGGAAAAAGGTATCATAAAGATTTTGATGTTTAGCCTCAAAGCCAAGTAAAGCAAGCCCAAAGCATGAAAATCCACTTACTAGCACTGCTAGAGTTTGGAGTTTTCTCTTTATCCCAAGCATTTATCCCATTAGCCACACAGTCACCATTATCTTTAAAATACACCCCCTGCAGCCTAATCGCTGTACAACTCTTGACATTAAGTTTGAACTTAATGTTCTGTCAATGCCTCTGCTGCTTTCTGAGCCATAGGCTACAAATTAATAACTTCATATGTAAAGAGGAAAAGCCCCATGATAAACCTCTGTGGGCTGCGGCTTGTTTGTTTTTAAAAACTACCAATGAGACATGAAACTTTCATCTTTGTTGAGATTTTTTATGTTCCTGCACTCCATCATTAAGAGCAGCCTTGCTTGCTACAGCCCACCAGGAACAACTAACATATACCTGCTTGGTCTTACACCCTGCAACAGGCACAGAAGATAGAAGCTAAATTCTCATACGATTACTTGGAATAAGGAGCATGTGTTACTTTACAATCTATTGCCTAACATAAGTCCCTTTTCCTGAGGTTGCCATAAGCTTACATGAGAAGGTGTCCTAAATCTCTCACAGTAATGCTGAATCCGAAAGGGTTCGGAGCACTCATTTTGAGGAGCACAGACCTCATTCAGTGAAACAATGATTAAAGATTCTGTTTCATATTTTATTCTAAAATCTTACAAGAAGATACAGAATCGCTTCCAGAAAAATGTTGAACTCCAACAACAATTTAATAGAATTATAGAAAATCTCATTTCAACACAAGCCTCAGCAGAAGAGCTTCCTTGTTATCTTCAATGTAACACAAATCATCTTTTTAACATAAAATATTAGGAATCATGCTAATTTCACAGCTTTGTTACATTAGAAAAAAAAGTTAATGGTCAATTCAGGCTGCATCCATTTTATAATGTACAGATAAGGGGTATTTTCTCATAAATCTGCTTAAAAATGAATATTAAAGAGGGATAACGTGACACCATGTCAAATAAACAAATAAGGATGATAAAGGAAATATAGCTATTTGAAGAAGATTATTTGAAATAACACATGGGCTTCCATAGTCATATTTAGAGAAACATTCTAACTAAAGTCAGACTTTGTATTAATTACCACAGAATTCTTAATTACAAAATCTAACATGAAGGAATAAAAAAACATTTTAAGGTTCCTTTCTTCAAAAAGTACACAAAGTTAGCTTGTCCTACAATTTTCAGTCATTATCTTATCTTAATAAATGAGTATGATATTTAACAGCCCAACTCTCCTCTTTAATTTGCTCTTGATGTCTAATGGCAGCGTTCAACCATGACAAAGCAAAATTACTAAAGTTCTCACCTTCAAGTTTAGAAAGAGCTATTGTTGATAGGTGAGCCATGTACTCACACAACTTACAGTGGATTTGCTGAACTCTCTTGGTGGCACCACAAAATATATTTCTGCTCCTGTCTTCATTACAAATCAAAATTGAAGGCTTATACAAATTTAAGCTGCATTAAAAATATTCAACAGGATCCCAGCACATTGGGAGGCGGATCACTTGAGGTCAGGAGTTTGAGACCAGCCAGGACAACATGACGAAATCCTATCTCTACTGAAAATACAAAAATTAGCAGGGCGTGGTGGCGCCTGCCTGTAGTCCCATAGTCCCAGCTACTTGGGAGGCTGAGGCAGGAGAATCACTCGAGCCCAGGAGGCAGAGGTTGCAATGGGCAAAGATTGTGCCACTGCACTCCAGCATGGGTGACAGAGCAAGACTCCGTCTCAAAAAAAAATTCAGCGGGGTGTATCTTCAAACTTTGTGCCATTTTTTCCCTTGAAATAAAAAAAAAATTAGAAACTGGGACAGATATATTTTTCCTATTTGAATGCTCATGAATAAAACTATATTTTATACTCTAAAATTATAATACCTTAACAGCATGGTGGAACCACTAACAGATATGGCTTTTCAATGGATAGTCACTTTAGTACTTTAGTATAATACTTAAGAGATCACACAATACATAAAAATAAACCTCTATCTCCAATTTATTATGGTATAAGTATTACCAAAATTAAATTTGTACACCACTTTTAAGGTGTAATATTGTAAAACTCTGCACTACAAAGAATTAATTGAAGCAAACTCGCTCAGATAAGATCATTTTGACCTCTGTTCTTCACGCTAGACATTTTCATTACAGAACAAAACAGTCACAAGTTTACTAATCCTAAATGACTTGGCAAAGCCAATCCTAATGACAAGGATTTTGCCGAGTCATGTAGGATTTAAGTGACTCTGTGGTTCCTGGTGAGATACAGTACTTCAAAACACACTGGCTGATCCTCAGACCAATGACCTGACATCAAGTCAGATGGAAGTAACTTTGAGTTTCAAACATAGGGGAGGATGGGTTTTTCTTAAGAATGAAAAAAAAAACAACTCAGCTTTTCATTCAGAGCAATATATTCTGAGAAACAACTTATCATTTTGGTAAAAACAGGAGAAGCCTAATCACTCAGCTTCTACTCTGGAGTATAAAATAGTTTTCACACTTTTAGTCCACATGAAAAATAGCTCCGCTGAATTTCTAATTGCTGTATTTAGTGCTGAATTTGTCCTTTTATATATTGGCCACCTCCTTTTTGAAACTCTCTTCTTTTATAGATCTCAAACCACCTGAGATCCCAAATCCTGAGTCACCTTAAGTGGCTCTTTCTCTTCATGTCTTTCTAAAAATCCTTCTCAGTTTATTCTGAAAAGCAGAAAACAAAAAGCAAAATAAACAAACAAAGGCCTACAGCCACGTTTCCCATTTGAAGAACCCTGCTCTCATAAATTAGGGGATTCTTTTTTTTTTTTTTTTTTTTTTTTGAGACGGAGTCTCGCTCTGTCGCCCAGGCTGGAGTGCAGTGGCGTGATCTCGGCTCACTGCAAGCTCCGCCTCCCGGGTTCACGCCATTCTCCTGCCTCAGCCTCCCGAGTAGCTGGGACTACAGGCGCCCGCCACCACGCCCGGCTAATTTTTTGTATTTTTAGTAGAGACGGGGTTTCACCGTTTTAGCCGGGATGGTCTCGATCTCCTGACCTCATGATCCGCCCGCCTCGGCCTCCCAAAGTGCTGGGACTACAGGCGTGAGCCACCGCGCCCGGCCAAATTAGGGGATTCTTATCAGGAAGAGAAAGCAGCACGAGGAGGGCTCACAAAGGGAAGTGAGGCTCACTAGAACAGCCCCAGGCATAAATTGCAGGGGAAACCTGAAATCAACTGCTCCTAACCCAAAACAGGCACGTCCGTCAAGCATGAACCAGCAGCAAGAAGCTCCTTGGCATCCAGTCACAAGGATCTAATCTCAACTCCAGGTACCTCGGTAGCCTATTTGCAATGGTGACTGTTAAATTCTAGGAAGTCAGCACTGACTCTTCCACCTACAGTATCTTCCATTAAAGGCCAAATCAAATGATCTCCCCACTCCAAATCTCCATCTTAGGTCTCCGCATCACCATTATCGCAGTCTGCTGGAGAATACTGTGAGCACCTCCATGTACTGAACGTGGAAAGCAAGATTTACAAAAAGAAGGCAGCACAGTTTTGCTTTCAACGAATCTTCAATATAACTATATTTATTTATATATTTCTTTCATTTATCCTACCAGACAGGGCGGAAATGAAGTCTTAATTATCCTTATTTCTCCACATGGTGCTGTGAATAGAGTCAGTACAAATTTGTTGAACTGAAATTTATTAAACTGGTTCTTTCTGACCTAAAAGAGCCAAGTAAGAATCCCACTGCTTTGTTTTGGCCCTATTTGTCCACTTTTTCAATATGCCATAGAAATAAAAGGATGACAAGTCAAACCAATTTTCCCCCACTTCTTTACTGCAAACAAATAATACTAAATATTATAATAATATAATACTAAATATCACAGTGATATAGAGAATGAGGGAGAGAGTTTCGTCCCAGAAGAAGGCCCTCCTAGCCGACTACAACAGCAATCTCTAGAAAAACCCCCTACCAAACTGACAAATTCAAAACAGCAATACCATATGATACTTAAGAGGAAGAATGGTTCACATTTACAATTTATGATAGCACAAAGGCACTCCAGAATTTTATGTTCAGTGTACTGAATAGAAAGCAGCTGTTAGGCAAAGCATGATTAAATGACTTCAATATGGGAGAATTAATCACATTTTCTTATACTCGGGATTCTGCTGTCACTCAAAAATAAAGATGGAAAGGACTGTAAGGTCAGTATTTTTAAAAACAACATCAAAATGGGCACCTAAACTAGTATCCATCTAAAAAATGTAAAATGACTCACAGGCCTAAGATAGTAAGATTTTATTATCCATCTAAAAAATGTAAAATTACTTATGTGCCTAAGATAGTAAGATTTTATTATCCATCTAAAAAATGAAAATTACTTATGTGCCTAAGATACTAAGATTTTAAAAGCTTATTTGCACTAAAAGTTTTTAAGAAGCATCCGTTCTGTATTAATATAATTAGTAGAACATCAAAGGTGCCTCCAAAACCAATATGTATTTTTTAATTGTGAAAAAAAGTTTAATACTAGCAATACTAAAAAAAAGTTAAAAAAAGCTTAATTGTTAAAAAAAAGTTTAATTCTCATTTAATTTTCATTTCACAGACTAGGCTACAATTCTAGCAAAACAATGCATTTATCAAAATACATGATCACATTATGCCATGGATGGGAAAACAGAAATATAAAATACATGCAGACAAGAAAATAAAAGCAGGCACTTGGATTATCATACTCCTCCAGCCAGACGAAGGTATAGTGAACTAGAGAGTTCACCACAAACAGGAATAGAATAACCAAAAACTCCAATACATCAAACATGTCAGAACTGAATGGCTGCCTGAAAATGAATGCCCCTGAAAACACTATCCTTACTTCCTCTGTTTACCAGGTAGAAAGTTTGAGGATTCTATTTTGTTTCTCATACTCTGTGTCTACTGTGGTCAATCAAAAAAATCTACTGAAGTTACCGGGCTTTGAAATTACATTCAGAAAAAAGCAAGCTGGACTGTGGGATAGGTATTTATCAATGAAATGCTCCCAAGGACACTAATGAGGTTTTAGAAAAGAGGAAGCCACTTGCTGAGACATTGCCTTCACGGCCAAGAGTCTTTACTAGCCAATTCCATAGCACTCTTCCTATGAATTATAATTTAGAAAGGCAGATCCCACCCAATTCTAGAAATATAAGTTCAAATAGGCCCTAAGAATCTGGTGAACTCCATTTAAAAAATGATTTGTCTCTGCAAAAGAAAAAAGAAAAAGATTTAACTGACTGCAAATGAGCTTTACTTTATGGAATACCAGACACTACATGAGGAAATCTAGGTTTTTAAGACAGAGCAATGAGCTTGCCAAAATAAATCTTCTTCCACAAAAAGGTTCATAATAGAACCCTGTTAAACTCTAAATTTTCCTAGTTAATATAACCTGGTATATTATTTATAAACATTATAAGCAATGTTTTCAGGAAAAAAATTTGCTGTACAATACAGCACTGAATTCTATGTTTATCATTTTGCTATAAAGATAATTAGAAGTAATTAGTAACTTGGCAGCTCCAATGAACAAGACCTGCTTTTTTCAGAAACCATTAATCCTTTGATTCTTCATAGAGGACAAGAGAAATCGGAGGCAAGTCTACCTGAAAAGAGAGAATGACACGAATAGACTGGAAGAAAAGAGCTCCAAAATGTCTGGAGGTGAGACACTGACATTCATTTTCAGCAGCCATTCAATCCTGATGGACTGGAGCTTTTAGCTCTTCCCATTAGTGATGAAATGGCCAGCTTAAGATACTAGCACCTAACTGGAGGAGCAAAATAATGGAAGTTGCTGCCCTTTCTCTTACCCACTTATATTTTACACTTCTGCTTTCCCATTCCTGTCCTAATGGACATGTCTAAGAGAGTTGTGAAAGGTTTCCTAGAAAAGGCACCATGTTTAAACGAAATTTGCCAGGCAGAGCTGAAGAAACTGTACGAGCAAAGCTTGGAAGAAGAAAAGGAATCCTGAGTTTTAGGGGAAAGGACAAAGAGTAAGGCTTTTTTTTTTTTTTTTTTTTTTTTCTGAGAGGGAGTCTACCTCTGTCACCCAGGCTGGAGTGCAGTGGCGCGATCTTGGCTCACTGCAACCTCTGCCTCCCAAGTTCAAGCAATTCTCCTGTCTCAGTCTCCCGAGTAGCTGGGTCTACAGGCATGTGCCACCACGCCTGGCTGACTTTTGTATTTTTAGTAGAGACGGGGTTTCACCATGTTGGCCAGGCTGGTCTCGAACTCCTGACCTCGTGATCCACCCACCTCGGCCTCCCAAAGTGCTGGGATTACAGGCGTGACCCACCACACCTGGCCTAACAGTAAGGCTTTAAAGAGCCTACTCAACTAATACTGAAGACTGTTAGTAAATATGTGACCTATGGAATGATCACACTCTATAGAATGATCACACTGACTGAGAGCTCTATATTATTTTGTAATTGAAAACATGAGTTGTTTTCAAAAGAACTTTTAAATACCAAGATGATGCAAGTTTAAACCTTCCTTGTCATGGAGAAAATGCCCTTCCACTCCAATAAACTAAAAGATAATTTTTAACTATACAGAACATAATGTCTTGTTTCCACAAAATGCTAAATACTTTGCAAGATTCTCCTTGCTGACTCTGAGGTGGCAGAAAGTGACAAATATCATCCAAATCTTACTGATACAAGGAAAATATTTTCAGCACAAAAAAAATCTTTGTAGCATCATCATTGCTCTAAAGAAAAGCTAGAAGCCTGCCATAATGATTAGCAAACTCATATAGATATCTCCAGGAAAGGATTTACAAAATGTCATCACATCCTTGTAATCATCTAATTATCAAACTCAGCAGTGTTGACAAAGCACAAGCCCACTCAGCTACTGCTAATGATTATTATTCAAAGCTACATTTCTACCAAATCAGAATAACTTACAGGTAGAAGCTCATTAGCCTTAGGAACCACCCTCCTTGAACACTCACACGCACACGCACACGCGTGACACGCATACACACACGCGCACGCGCGCACACACACGCACACACACCCCAGCCATAACTAGGCCTTGCTGAATTGTCATTTGCTTTCATGACCCTCCTTCGTGTATATGAGCAGCTTTACGAATTGGTTCAAAAATACCCAGCCTTTCAAAAATAATTCCCTATCTAGAAAAATACCCTACAGACATCTATATCTAGAGAAATACCCTATGGACATTAGTTTGCTAATGTCATAGCAACAGTGCGGCAGGCATCGTCAAGCTTTGGTGGCTTGAAGAAACACACTGGCAATGCAACAATGGGAAGGAGCTAAAACGTAATGTAAGTGACAATGCAACGTGAAGGAATGGAGGCATAAAGGCAATGCAACAATGGGAAGGACTGAAAGCATAATGCAAGCCATGGAGGAAAAGCATACACTCACTGAATCTCCGCAATCTACTTGTCACTACACCAGGTGCTAGGAAAATGGTTACGACCCTCAAGCTGCTTGCAGTCTATGCAAGCAGTCAGCCAGCTCCAGGAACGTGGCATGAGATGAAGCTTGCAGGGTCCTCAAATGCCATACTTAAAAGCCTTGATTTCATACAAAGGCAGTAGGGAATCAACAGACATCTTTTTGCAAGAGATTAAATGATCAAATCTGGGTTTTTTTTCAATTATCTCTAATGGCAAAATATAAAAATGAATTGAGACTCAGGGAAACAGTGAGAGGCAAGGATATGAGTTAGAGGCCATTTAGGTGAGATCGGAAGGATTTTAATAATAACTGGGACAGTGACAAAACAATATAAAAATAAAACAATAGAGTCAAGAGATCTTTAAAAGCAGCATAAGCAGGGCATACAGAAGTTTGGGGGAAGAATCAGAGGTATTCCTGATATTCCTGGCACGGCTGGCTCAGGAGATTGCAACGTCAAGAGAGAAGACAGCAAAGGTGGAGAAGCAGTATGCTGTGCGGAAGAAAAGGCAGAGTTTAGGCACTGCACACGACGAATCTGAAGTAAAACCAGGTCACATAGATGAAGATTTTTGTTGGTATATAGAAAATATGGGATGAGCTCAGAAACACAGGCAGGCAAGTAAAGCCATGGCAGCACCATATTGTCATTCAACAGGTAACCAGAGACAAATCAGCAAATAACTTTTAAAACAAACTGGTGAGACAGGCAGAAGGACAATGATGAGCAGGTTAAAAGACTTCCGAAGGTTAAACACTATCACACCTCAAATCTGCATACCTTGAGATTTAAGTGGGTATTGTTGGTTTTGGTTTGTTTGTTTTTCGTTTTTTTGAGACCGAGTCTCGCTCTATTACCCAGGCTGCAATGCAGTGGCACGTTCTCGGCTCACTGCAACCTCTACCTCCCAGGCTCGAGCGATCCTCCCACCTCAGCCTCCCAAGTAGCTGGGACCACAGGCATGAGCCACCACAATTTTTGTATTTTTTGTAGAGATGGGTTTTGTCATGTTGCCCAGGCTGGTCTCCAACTCCTGAGCTCAAGCGATCTGCCCACCTCGGCCTCCCAAAGGACTGGGATTACATGTGTGAGCCACTGCACCTGGGCAAAGTGGGTATTGTTCCATAAAATCTTGGCCAAATGGGAAACAAGAAAACCCACAGTATAGTCACTTCTTATTACAGAAGACTTTTGAGGCCCCCAAACAATATACCTTACCAACTTCTGCTCTAACCTGAAAGACCCACAGCCACTGAATGATTGTGAAGGAGGAAAAACAGACCCTAGGACACCAACCAGCAAGTCACACACGCCTCTGCAGATGCTGTATTGGCTGAAGAAAATGCTGCCACCCATCGGGGAAGGAAAGGAAATTCTATTAAGGATATTTTTAATTCTGATCCTAATTCAGGTGATCCTAATTAAACAGCTCTGCATAAACAGTGTCTTGATAAATTTTTCCTATAAGCATCAAAACGAAAACCAAATGTCAATCAAAACTTGAAATAGCGCCCATGACTGCCAAGTCTGGTCACATGTAGCTCTAATGCTTTTCTTTTACTTGACAAGTATTTATTCAAAAACAACATTTTAAAATTATTTGCCTATGTCATTAATATCAAGTATAAATGTTAAGGTCAAATAAATATCACTAAAAGAAAAAGAGGTGTTAATAAGGCCAAAGAGTATTTTCTTATACACTGCATATATAGTTTATAGCATAGAAAATGTTTAAATCTATAAATGCATGTATCTATAGAATCATAGGGAAAAGCACACCCAATAATGGCTTGAAAATGATAAAGACTCAATCTGGAGGGCTCCTGAATAATTAATGTTTTAATATGCAGTACTAAAAGATTGTAGAATGCAGATTTCAAAAGGTACCTTAACTCCATGCAAATTCCATGTCAATTATCTTTATTTTCACATACAGTTGTGGCAACATCAGCACAGAATCATTTGACATGAATAATCCACCCTCCTCCCACTCAAACTACCAGCATTTATTTAGATTTGAATATATGAAGGACAGAGGTATGTAAGGCATGATGTACCACCTGGATAAAAATAGCAGAAATCCTGATTAAATAATTTACAGTTTTGCCTAGAGCAATACTTTAGTATTAGAGAATATTATCAAATATTCTTATTTCCATCATTCTGGATTTTGCTAAGGCTTATAATGGTCCATAATTAGGGCTCTAACAGAGAACTAATATAACACAGAATGCAGTATGGTGGAATGCAGAAAATAAGAACTCTGGAATGAAGAAAGCCATGTTAAAGCTCTGTCTCTTTTACTTAAATATAGTGTGACCTTACGCACTTTCTCATCTACAAAGGCACGATACCCATAACTCAGAGGGCTACTATAGAAGATAATGTGAAAGTACACATTAAAGTACTTGGTAGAATAAAAAATTAAAACAAAGGAGTGCGGCACTAGGAAACTTGTGATCAATCCGCCAATTGTCCCTTGATCTGTTGATGTAAGACAGGTACCAGTGTCTAATACTCATTTGCTTCCTGGAAAGTATGGGCCAAAAAATGGGAAATACAAGACAAATCCACATACTCAAATATGTAATACAGCAGTTCTGTTTATAACTGAGTTATCTGAAGGGAAGGCAGACAGCTGGTTTGGGAAGCCAAAATCATTTAAACACGGACATACAGAATCTCTGAATTGAAACTCATCATTAGACAAGCTAATCTAGTTTCAAATGTCGAACGATACTATTCTGTAACTTATTTTTAATTTTCTGCCTTTACACAGATAGGCTTCAATATAAGAAACAGATATTGCTGAAAGGTTGTCTGTAATTTAACTTCTGTTTGCTGTATCACATTTTCACTTCAACTTAGCAGCTAAGTTCTTGAGCACTTGGGCATCAACTAACAGAAAGGGCATTAGACAGAACTCAGAAGACTTCAGTTCTAGCTTTCTTCCTGTCACTGGGTGACTACTTCCCCCTCTCTAAGCCACAACTGATGTATTCTGGAGAAAGGGAGAGGAGAAAAAATGGGAAGGCTATGGTATCAGAGAGTTTCTGTGATCTCTTCAGCCCTAAAGTTGTATAATTTTATTTTGCTTAAGGAAGAAAATGGGGACACATGACCTATTTTCATGAAATTTATAGTCTAAGTGGGAACCTAAGAAAAAAGGACAGACAACTTAGAAAGTAGGGGATAGTCACAGTTGTCAAATGCTTGGCATAGAAAATAACAGTGACTACTGATTTTACAAAAGGGAAAGCTCAATCCTAACCAAGTAGATTTCACCAAAGATCTGAGTAGAAACCTTAAGAATAAGCAGGACCTCAATAGAGAGGGCGAGGGAAGATAAACTACACCCTTCCATGATGCACCAGAAATATCACAAACTCACAAATTCAAAGAGCAGTTTACATATCATCTAGGCCTACCTTATAGAGACAACCCATCCTGACACGTAATTCTAATCCTCAGTGAAACTCTTCCAGGAAGAAGTAGCTTCCAGCTGTACCAGGACACGCTGATACGTTGTTGGAACGCTCTGGTTATAAAGCTCTTCTAGATAATAAAACAGTATTTTTGTCCTTTCTTCATCATGCTTTGTAAATAGACATTTATTTGAATATGTCTCTTTAAACATGTAACATTAGGTACTAAACACAGAAACTGTAATGAAAATCAACTTTTGAAGATAGAAGGAAGACTCTTCCTCTTTGATTAAGATGCTTTAAAAGAATCTGGTTTGGCGAAGCCATCCCCAAACTCGCCTGCTTACCTTTATGATATACCAAGTCATCTTATTTTCCACATCAAATGGCAATGTCTGATTTTTGCCCCTAAAAAAAACACTCTGTTTCTGCCTATTACAAAATTTAATAGAGCAGTTTATCACAGTTTTTCATCACTCTTAATATTATATCTCTAAAACATATTTGTTTTTTCCTCCCATGAAAGGTCCTTCTTATTTGCAATAGAAACAGCCAAATCATAATTTAAAGTTTGAGGGCAATAATCCACAATCTAAGAAAAATCAAACAAAAACTTTGAACCTGAGTTACATAACCACAATATTTCTAATAGAAAATTTTATCTTTATGTTTCATTTCAAAACAAAATAACAAAATATAACACCTTTAATTAAGAACCAAAAGCATGATAGCACATGTCTGTAGTCTCAGCTACTCAGGAGACTGAGGCAGGAAGATTGCTTGAGCCCAGGAGTTTGAGGTCAGCCTGGGCAACATACTAAGACCCTGTCTTCATGGGTTTTTTTTTTTTTTTTTGAGAGAGTTTCACTCTTGTCGCCCAGGCTGGAGTGCAATGGCACAATCTCAGCTCGCTGCAACCTCCCCCTCCCAGGTTCAAGGGAGTCTCATGCCTCAGCATTCTGAGTAGCTGGGATTACAGGCATGAGCCACCACGCCCAGCTAATTTTTGTTGTTTTGGTTTTTTTTTTTTTTTTTTTTGTAGAGACGGAGTTTCACCATGTTGCCCAGGATGGTCTTGAACTCCTGACCTCAGGTGATCCACCCACCTTGGCCTCCCAAAGTGCTGGGATTACAGGCGTGAGCCACCGTGGCTGGCCAAGACCCTGTCTTTTAAAAAATTAAAAATTAAAGGCCAGGCACGGTGGCTCATGCCTGTAATCCCAGCACTTTGGGAGGCCGAGGCGAGCGGATCACAAGGTCAAGAGATCAAGACCATCCTGGCCAACATGGTGAAACCCCATCTCAACTAAAAATATAAAAATTAGCTGGGCGTGGTGGTGTGCGGCCTGTAGTCCCAGATACTCGGGAGGCTGAGGCAGGAGAATCGCTTGAACCTGGGAGGTGGAGGTTGCAGTGAGCTGTGATCACGCCACTACACTCCAGCCTGGTGACAAAGTGAGACTCCTACTCAAAAAATAAATAAATAAATAAAATAAAAATTTAAAAAAAAAGGAAACAGCTAAGAATGACAGTTTAAAATATTAAGACAATAAAGTCCCTGCTTTTTCTATTTTATAATTTCTTTCTCTCTTTAGTAAAATAATTGCAGTTTTCTTACTATACCATTGAGATAAAACATTTTTAAATTATTGAATTAAATTGGCTTTAGAGTAAAACAAAAATTGACTCAAAAAACAATTACTGTGTGTGTACTGTGCTCAGAAATGTGACCAGCAATGTAAACCGACAGAACCAATGGCTTTTTAGAAAATAACAAAGTATTTCCGATCCTTTTTTAAGTAGAGAATTTTCTCCCAGCACATCCTATTTCCAATTGTGTGCAAAAAACCTTCCAGCTTACAAATGTTAATTCAGGGGTTGGCAAATAAAGGCCCAGAGGCCAAATCTGGCCCACCACCTGCTCAGTCTGCAAGCTAAGGATGTTTTCTTACATTTTTAAATGGTTGGGGAGAAATAGAAAGAGTATTTTTGAATATGTGAAAATTACATGAAAAATCAGTGTTCAGTGTCAATGTTTCTTTGGTATACAGCCACACCCATTCATTCACGTATTGTACACGGGGCCTTTCAGGCTACAATGGCAGAGTTGAGTTGCCACGATAAGCATGTGAGGTAATGCATATGTTAATTTGCTCCATTTAGCCACTCCACAATATATACGTATTTCAAAAAATCATGTTGTACATGATATATATAATTTTTATTTGCCAATTTAAAATAATTTTTTTAAAGAAGCAGCTACCACAGAGACCATAAGTAGCACTCTCTTTACACACTACAAATTGTCATGAGGCAGTTGTGACTCACTTTTGTCTCCTGCCTGGAAAGCCTAAATATTTACAATGTGAGCTTTTAGAGAAAAATGTTCTTCAAACCTGGAATAATTAATATAGTTATTCATCATTCCTTGAAGAACTTAGTATAATGGCAGTCTCTATGAGTCAGAGCTATCAAGTAATTACTAGATTTCTTGAATCTTATCATGATATTAGTGTTTCTTTTTGTCAAGTCTCATATATTTATATTATGTATTAATTTTTAAAAATACATTATCTGGGCCAGCTGTAGTGGCTCATGTCTGTCATCCTAGCCCTCTGGGAGGCCAAGGTAGGAGAATCACTTGAGCCCAGGACTTCAAGACCAGCCTGGGCAACATAGCAAGACCTTGTCTCTACAAAAGTAAAGCAAAATATTAGCAAGGCATGGTGGCACACACTTGTAGTCCCAGCTGGGCAGGGGAATCACTTAAGCCTAGGAGTTCAAGGCTGCAGTGAGCTATGATCACATGACTGCACTCTAGCCTGGGTGACAGAGCAAGATCCTGTCTTTAAAAATAATTTTTTAATGAAATGAAATAAAATATAAAAACATTTATCAAAGTGTGCTCCACAAAACGGAAAAGGGATACTGTTTTCTCACATTCCTTCAATCCGTCAAAAATTAAAGACCTCCTGCATACAATGAAGGTTGCTAGGAATTCAAAATAAATAAGATGTAATTCCTGGCTCCACGTAATTGCATTCTAGTAGAGAGACACAGTATTCCAGTAGATTGTTGTCACTAAAGGAAAAGCCAAAGCAATGACAGTAACCTTTGCCATTTCATAATGTCATACAGACATTTAAAAAATATCACCTCTGTCTGCATTAATGGCAAGTTATACACTTAAATAGATAAAGCAACAAGGCTTGACAAACACATTTATCCATCAATACTTTCAAGCAAAGCATTAGCCTTACATAAGCAATTAACCTTGACCAACACGGGTATAAACAAAAATGCTGATTAAGAACTTACTAATTATCCTTCCCAACTTCAGAAGTTTAGCTGGCATCTGGTTTTTAACTATGATAAATATACACCAACTCATCATAGGTTATTAACACATAAGTGAAAAGAAATATTTAACCAAATGGCTACGAATGAAGAACACGATAAACAAATATCATCATTAAAAATCCAAACAATGAGTTGTTTTCTTTGAAAGCCCAAGTGTCCTACAAACATCACTTTATTTGAAGGTAGAGAAATATTTCTGAGAATAATTGTCTCCTGAATCAACTTCGAGATTCAATCTGTTGTAATAAAGACAACATATATAAATCATAGATGCATGACACCGTTTCATAATTAGAATGCCAGGATCTGCATGCAGTTAAGCATCCTAGCTGTTTGCCTGCTTTACTTAACACCAGAAGAGAAGTATAATCCCAACAGCTAAGTATTCTAGCAGCTGTTGTGAGCAGAGTAGAGAGATGTGGCATGTAGCAGTCACCACCACACGTAAACACACAAGCACCCCGGTGACTGGAGGTTAGCAATCCTGGTGTGCCTGCTCGCTTTTAGTGTTAAATATTTAATGGCATATTTTTCCTTAATGGAACCCAGGCACATCTGATCAGTCACTGGGATCATTTAGTAATGCAGTCAAAGTTATCATACTGCCATTTCACATCAACTTTGTAATTAGATAATCCATCACTTTATTAATTCAAAAGATTGCTTTCTTTACTACCTTATAGCAGGCTACAGCAGTGAAACCCAACAGAGCTCATCAACAAAAAAGGCTCTAAAATCTGGTCCTACATGAACTTGAAACCCTCAAGTGACAAACATATACACACTCCTGACCTTTCAAAACAACAGAGGTAATACTCTTCCCACAAATTAGCCCACCAACAACAATGAAGTAACAGAGCACCAGTGTATCCAGAATGAGATGGTTAACAGAACTGAAAATTTAAGCTTAAAAGCTGAATATAACATGATCAACTTTGTTCTCGCTTTTTATTGAGGTACACTGTTCACCAGAGGATGAAAAGGATACACAAAAAAGTCATTTAGTAATTTTCCCTCCATGCTGATTTATATACTTCACTAAAATTATGAGGGAGGTTATAGCAGAATATCACATCCATTATTTATGATCACTCTAAATGTAAAGGCACATACCGGCCAAACACAAGCATGTAATCTTGAATATAGTATCACGATTTTCTCTTGCTTTATTTCTAACATACCACAAAATATTAAATCGCGATTTCTTATCGTATTGTGAATTGGTAAGATTCTCGTTTTAACACCTTCACAGCTTCTCCAATTTAAAAAAAAAAGAATCCTCCAATAAAAAATAATTTACTCAGAATGAAACTGTAAAATTTAAATATCATAGTACCAAAAACACCCTCTAAAATACTCACTTTCCAATCTATGCAACCAGTACATATTGCAAAACCAGCTACAGCTAATATAATTAAAAATTAGATTTTGGAAAAGCAAGCTCCGGAGGTCACATACGTGCCCTAAAGAACAAAAATAACATGCTACCAGGAGAATTATTAATTTGAAAGAAAGAAGGAGAGAACATCTTCTCAAACAGATGTGGAATTTCTAATCAAAAAAATTCTGTGGCAGTTGCACAACATTATAAAGTTCAGCAGTACTTTGCAGAGCTCCGGAAACACTAACAATGGCATATGTTCTGTGGTCAGGAAGGTCACTTTTATTCTTGTTGCCGCCAATCTAATGCCTGTTTTTGAAACATTCTATGCAACTAGTCTATTTTCTATTTTATTGTTCAGATTTTACCACATTTCTAATCAGGCTGCCAAATAAATTTTTAGAAAAGAAAGTTATAAGCCCAGAAAAAAAAATTATATATTTTTCTAGAACTCTGTACAATAATCCCTAAAGAAATCTTTTATGTGCATAAAAAAAATCTCAAAACAAATTCTACTGAAATTACGTTGAGACTATCAATAACCATTGCCAATAATTATCAATGGACATTTTAAGGGATAGAATAGAGAAATACAATACATTCCATGGCGTTTCAATTAATTAGAACATGACAACTGAAGCACGCTTAATTCCATCCTTTTAAGATGCATGTGTGAGAAAGATTTCCATCATCAAGGGAAGCCTACTTTTACATTTCCCACGTGAAATTCCAAGAAACTACTTTGATACCATGGAGTTTCTAAGAATGTTGGCAACAGTACATGATTTCTGTCCACAATGGCTATGACTGAAACTAAGCCTCAAGAAAAGACACCATTGCCTGTTTGCAAAATTTCTTCTCAACAAAACAGGTAATTCTCAGGATCTCAAGAGACACCAGCACTGGGCACAACTGTGAGCAACCATCTGAGACTCTAGTTTACAAACAGTGGCAGACTGCGCTCTTGGCTAGATGACAGCACAGGGAGATTTAAAACACCAAAGTTCTATAATCCAATAAAAATAAAGCTGAGAGGTGGGAGCAACAGTAGTAGAAATTAATAATATGTGTCAGACACTACTAAGTACGTTATAGTTGATCCTCCTTGAAATCTATGAAGTAGATATTAGTATTTCCATTTACAGATAAGAAAATTGAGATGGAGAGAATTTTATTTACTTGACTGAGGAAAATGACCTAACCATCATATTATTCAGCCTCCCATTTAAATTTGGCCTCTCTCTAACTGTAATTTTTGTTTGTTTTGAGTTGGGGTCTCACTCCGTCCCCCAAGCAGCACTCATGGTTCTCTGCAGTCTCAAACTCCGGGGCTCAAGCAATCCTCCCATCTCAGCACACCGAGTAGCTAATTGTAATTTTCTGAGTTTCGAAGGATATATTTATGCTTAGGAGTATATACATTTTCTATATTTGTAGCAAATGTTTCGGACCCAATCAGTACACCGAATCACAGCATTTGTCATGCCATGATAAATTTTTTTGAGACAGGGTCTCACTTTGTAGTCCAGGCTGGAGTGCAGTGGTGAGATCACAGCTCACTGCAGCCTCGACTTCCTAGGCTCAAGCAATCCTCCCACCTCAGCCTCCCAAGTAGCTGGAACTACAGGTGTGTACCACCCTGCTCTCAGCTAATTTTTTTTTTAAGTTTTTTTGTAAAGATGGCATCTCGCTATGTTGCCCAGGCTGATCTCAAACTCCTGGGCTCAAGTGATCCTCCTGCCTCGGCATACCAAAGTGCTAGGACTATAGGAGTGAGCCATTGTGCCTGACCAATAAATCCATTTCAAAATCTAACAGGTGCTGGGTGGGGTGGCTCACACCAGTAATCCCAGCACTTTGAGAGGCCAAGGTGGGTGGATCACTTGAGGTCAAGAGTTTGAGACCAGCCTGGCCAACATGACAAAAGCCCATCTCTACTAAAAATACAAAAATTAGCCCGGTGTGGTGGCGCATGCCTGTAATCCCAGCTACTCAGGAGGCTGAGGCACAAGACTCAACTTGAAAGCCAGGAGGCAGAGGTGCAGTGAGCCGAGATCACGCTACTGCACTCCAGCCTGGGCAACAGGGTGAGACCCTATTCCCAAAGAGGGGGAAAAAAATCTCAAAGGAAATTTTGTTTGAAAATGGAAGTGGAGATTTAAAAAAAAAAAAAAGTGTGTGGTAGAGAGGAGAAACAGCTTGTAGAGATGGAGACATACATCTTCTCTTCTCTAAACAATGTGAAAAAGAGCCAGCAGAGATGAAATTGGCCTTTATTTTTTATATGCATATAAATAATCACATCTCCTGTGTTCATCTGTATATCCCCGGTGCACTTCCTATCCTTTCAACACCTTCATTGCTGTCTGTGGAAATTAACACCTTTCATTGCTCACACTTTACACTTTTATCTCCGTTCAGCCACACACTCCCCAGGGAACATACAATCTAAGTTTTTTAAAAAAAACAAAACTATCCAAATAAAGCTGCAAGTAATTTGCTCTAGCCTCTCCATCCAACAGATTATCACTCAGCATCCCCTCCTCTAGAGAAATTCTGGGAGTATCCCTACCCTCACTTTCTATTACATTTAGTGCAAAACAAACATTTTAAACATCAAGCTCTTATTCTAACTCTACTGTAATTACTAAATATAACTGAAATCTGTATTCCACAGGTAACAACTTCCTTTGAAAACCTTCTCCGGAGGAGGTTGATATATTTCCCTCAGGAGGTTGGAGGAATCAACACCCTCACTCCCCAACAGCATTTCTAGACCACTGTATATCACTGTTTCCCAACACCAGCCTCGCTTTTGAAATTTACGTCAGTTTCCACTTCTGATATGAGGTCCTCCTTGACACCCACCCCTAGAAAAATTCCTCCTTCCTATGGCTCATGTTACTCAGTTTTTACAGCCAGGCAACAAATTCATAAGTGGACAGGATATATCTATATAGAAAACTCCACAATCAAACTCCAATTGCTATTAGGGTGTGTGTGTATTAACACTGGTGCTAAGAGTCAGAGTCAGACTAACACTGGTGCTAAGAAGTGGGGTGAAAAGGAGGAATATCTGGGAATATGACCGGGAAAATTACAAGTAACAGAAGAAATTTTCCAGGTAAAATTAAGGCTTACGCAGCAGATGCACGTTCAGCATTGAGAACCCGGTCCGACAGGAAAGACACACCATTTTTCCGCCAGAAACTCCAGTGTTCAAAATACAAACTGCCAACTTTTCAGGCAATAATCATGAGCTTCCATTAGAAAAAGCCATCAGCTCACCAGACGACGAAATATGCTCTCGGGATTAAGAACTTTCTCATCCTCCCTGAGCCCTTTCCTTTCAGGGGAAGTGCAAGTTTGATAAAGATATGCATATTCTTCAAGTAAGACTTTTGACCTGCTGAAGTTTTCTGCCTTGATAGATAATTTTGAGATTTAGAATTAGCCACATACTTCTACAACCCTGTGTCAAGAGTATTTTGTACACACTAGACCTGCAAATAAATAAATAAAAGTCTGCTGTACTTGCTAAGCAAATTCAGATTCAACTAACAAACACCTCTCAGCAGGGCAAGAGACTTGGTAAGAAAAGACTAATTCTAATGAAGGTTTAAAACTCCGAAGAGAAAGAACATCTGTGTGAACTGTAAGTATTAAAAATGACAGATATAAAATGAGTCTGAAAATTAGGGAAACCAGCTGATAGAAACATGAAGATTCATTCTACTAGTCCCTCTATTTTTGTGTGTGTTTGAAAATGTCCATAATTTAAAAGTCAAAAAAATTAAGACATAAGCAATTTTAGAAAAGCTCTCAGAATTCCATATGCCTTTCAATGAAAATTAGATGGTCTAAAACTGGCCGGGTGCGGTAGCTCACGTCTGTAATCCCAGCACGTTGGGAGGCCAAGGCGGGCGGATCATCCGAGGTCAGGAGATTGAGACCAGCCTGGCCAACGTGGTGCAACGTTGTCTCTACTAAAAATACAAAAATTGGCCAGGTGTGGTGGCAGGCGCCTGTAATCCCAGCTCCTTGGGAGGCTGAGGCAGCAGAATCGCTTGAACCCGGGAGGCGGAGGTTGCAGTGAGCCGATGTTGCGCCACTGCACCCTAGCCTGGGCGACAAGAGCGAAAACTCCATCTCAAAAAAAAAAAAAAAAAAAAAAGATGGGCTAAAACATAAGCTTAGTATGTCTATTATCTGCACAGAACCTGAATGAATGTAAATGAGAGGAACCAAAAGAAAAACAAAAAACAAGATCTTGTTTATTGAGGCCAGGTATAGCCAGCCTTGTTGACAGCGTAAATTCAGAAGTCAGCAGCTTCCTCTGTATGTACAAACTGTCAGTCAGGGATAGTTGCATGTTGACCCGCTTTCCACAGCCTAATGAACTGACTTTTGAATTTTCGCTGTGAAGAAGGCTGGCTTTACCTGGCCTCAATAAACAAAATCCTGTTTTATGTTATTTTTTTATGGTGCCCGTTTCTTCTCTTTGATTAATTAATTTTATACCAGAGTAAAATGAGGAGAGGAGCAGTAGACTGGGATAAAAATCTCTGCCCAGGGATCTTCACCCAGTTCCCGTGTGCTTGATGTGACTTGCACCATCACACACCGTCAACATTCTGGGCTCAGTGACTCATCCCTGAAAGCTGCAGGATCTATTTAGGTTAATTTAGGATCTTTCATGAACAAGGAAGGAGAAGGAGTCAGGGGGCGGGAAGGAGGGAGAAGGAGTCGGGGGAGCGGGAAGGAGGGAGAAGGAGTCGGGGGGCAGGAAGGAGGGAGAAGGAGTCGCGGGGGCGGGAAGGAGGGAGAAGGAGTCGGGGGGCGGGAAGGAGGGAGAAGGAGTCGCGGGGGCGGGAAGGAGGGAGAAGGAGTCGGGGGGGCGGGAAGGAGGGAAAAGGAGTCGGGGGGGCGGGAAGGAGGGAAAAGGAGTCGGGGGGCGGGAAGGAGGGAGAAGGAGTCGGGGGGCGGGAAGGAGGGAGAAGGAGTCGGGGGGGCGGGAAGGAGGGAGAAGGAGTTGGGGGGGCGGGAAGGAGGGGAGTGATTTAAGGACAAATTTATAAGCAGAAAAATACAAATTAAAAACATTAACAAAACTTTCACCAGAAAGTACAGAAGCCATAGGTTATTGGCTGCTTTCATCTGATTATTAACCTATATTTTAATGCAGAAGTGACACACTAAGGCCAATTATGCCCAAAAATCTCAAAACTGTGTATTTTCTAGCAATAACAAATATTATGTGGGGAGAAGGGTAAGCATTATATTAAAAATTGGTACACTTAATCATAGCAACAGAATTTTCCCCCTATACAACATGGAGATAATTTCATTATAAAATACATGAGACTAAAATCTTCAGAAAGAAAGAAGAACTAGGATAGTAATTCACATTTTACATGTAGCAACAGAAAGTATTTTAAAATATTTTTCATGGATATTAATAACATCAGTAATTATCACTGGAACATTTTCCAACAATAGAAATAATTACCACAGAATAGCCACAAACTTAACACTAGGAATGAGGTAATAATCATCATAAGGTATATTTTTATCTTTCAGTAGGTGTTCGTGTTTATAGTGTTGAACATGAAAACAGCCTTGGGCACGGCACACGATACTACTACAGGTTATAATTTTCAGAAGCATATGAAATAGATGAGAAAGTTTTCAGATGCACTGTAAGAAATCAGTAAATTTTGAAATCAATTTTAAATTATAGATAACCAGAATATAATGCTAAGATGACATTAATCAGAAAATCATAAAAATGTACCATACAGAATAAAAATACATTTGAGAAAAACTGGAATAAATCTCCAGCAATCAAACCAATTACATTTAATTTTTCAGAAAACAGTAAATTTTAAAACATGCCTTAAAATATTAATGGCATAAATATATCTTCAAACGTGTGCTTACAAATTACAAAATAAGTGGCAAAATTGTCAAAAGTAAAGTTTTACTTGTTATTAAATTGTGATCAACATTAAAACAAATGCAAACACACAATGTGAGAAAGCGAGGACAGCAGATCCATAGCAGTGAGGGGGTGTTTCTGTCATCCCTATCCCAGGGTAAATATCAAGAAGCAATCATTTCATGCCTATGGGCTAGTGAAGAAAAAAAAAAATCAATCATCGCACTCTTCCTCCCTAGGCCAAGATAAACCCTCGGAATCATTTAAAAAAAAAAAAAATACTTCAGGAGGCCGGGCGTGGCAGTTCGCGCCTGTAATCCCAGCACTTTGGGAGGCCGAGGCGGGTGGATCACCTGAGGTCAGGAGTTCAAGACCATCCGTCTCTACAAAAACAAAAAAAAAAAAACAAAATTTAGCTGGGCGTGGTGGCTCATGCCTGTAATCCCAGCTACTCAGAATGCTGAGGCATGAGACTCGCTTGATTCTGGGAGGCGGAGATTGCAGTGAGCCGAGATCGCACCACTACACTCAAGCCTGGGTGACAGAACGAGACTCTGTCTAAAAACAAAAAAGAAAAGAAAAGAAATGGATTTCAATAAATTTTTCATTTCAAAGACAGGCTCTATGCTTAAACAACCACCATAAAACTCAATGAATGCAATGCAACGGCAAACAAGTCCATTCACAAAAAATAATGGGATATGCTATTTTCTTCTGAGAAAAGAAAGCATACTCTTTCTTCCAAGGGTACACTTTGAGAATTCACAATGAACATACTCAGGCAATAACAAGAATATTAATCAAACAGAAAAATTCATACCCTTCTCAATGCACACAATACATTCTCTCATGCTCTACTCACTATGATAAGGAAGTAATATAAGGCATTAAGGGTCTTGAATTTCCTGTCAAGATTCTCGACATTTTTGTAACTAACAACAAAATAAGGAGCAAATGGTTGATGTATGGAATTAGCAAAGAGCAAACTTAACACTTACTTTTGCAAAGGCTTCAAAAAGGTCAAAGGCAGGTGGCAGCTGAGAGGCATCCTGTATTTCTTCTCTCATGAAATGTTGAAATGTCATTACGAGTTGCCTGAGGCCCTCTTTCTTATCTTCAGTCAGTTTGTTAATATCTTTTTTAAAGAGAAAATAAATAGCACAATCTCAAAGTAAACTTCTGAAGGATAATTTTCAAGTGTTCAATGCTGGCTGTTAAACCAGATATTTCCTACCTTACATTGGATTTTGACAAAGAGCAAATACATATTGTTTTATCTTTTGACAACTAAATATGATGCATATGTTATCAATTAAATTCTGCCAAATTTTGTCTGCAATGTAAGATCAAACACCTATCAAAACATAAGTACGCACATATATGAAAAAGCATTAAAACCAAAATCACTGAGATTGTGTGTTACCAGATTTTCTACATCATTCTGTACACACATACAAACAATTATCAGTTCTTATTAAGTCAGTAAACTTAAGCAGACTTTTCCATGAAATAATTTACAACTAGGTCATGACTAAACTAATAAACAGCATCACCTCTAAGGCAAAAAGACAGAAAATAAGAACTAAAAAGTTCAGATAAAGTTCAAATAGGTTAAATTTGTCATATGGCTAGTACATCATGAATAGAACAGGGATCAAGCACAGCAATTTCAACTTCAAGTTATCTGAGTTGAATAAACAAGATAAAGGAGCCTGGCGCCGTGACTCACGCCTGTAACCCCAACACTTTGGGAGGCCAAGACGGGCAGATCACTTGAGGTCAGTAGTTCGAGAGCAGCCTGGCCAACATGGTGGAACCCCATCTCTACTAAAAATATAAAAATCAGCAGGGCGTGGTGGTGTGCGCCTGTAATCCCAGCTACTCGGGAGGCTGAGGCAGGAGAATCACTTGAACCCAGGAGGTGGCGGTTGCAGTGAGCCAACATCGCGCCACTGCACTCCAGCCTGGACAAAAAGAGAGACTCCATCTCCAAAAAACAAAGACAAAAAACAAGATATGATGTGGCATCAACCCAAACAGAAGGAGATGGTTCTAAAACAAAAGAAGAAGAAAAGTTCTAACGCCAATACTACCCCCTTAAATATCATTTTCAATCATACCACAAATGGGGTGTTAAGGCTGAAAGGATACAACAGGTCAATTAATAACATGTGAGAGCATTTCACTTAAGGTCATGTGTATGACACTAGTACTGAGTAGGGCTAATGTGAAGAGTAAAACCCATGGTAACAGATGTTATTTACCTAGCAGTAATATAACAAGAAAATTTGAATACTTTGCTGTCTTTTAAAACTTGAAAAGATACATCAAGTTGAACTACAGCATAACTCTGTTGCTTATGTCTATGCATATCCTTTAGATTACTTATTCAACAGAATAACCCAATGATTTCTTTTTTTTTCTATTTTATATGCTTGTTAATTTTTTTTTGATGGTAAATATATGTTTTTTTATTTTATTTATTTTTTCTTTTATTATTATTATATTTTAAGTTTTAGGGTACATGTGCACAATGTGCAGGTTAGTTACATATGTATACATGTGCCATGCTGGTGTGCTGCACCCATTAACTCGTCACTTAGCATTAGATATATATACTAATGCTATCCCTCCCCACTCCCCCCACCCCACAACAGTCCCCAGAGTGTGCTGTTCCCCTTCCTGTGTCCATGTGTTCTCATTGTTCAATTCCCACCTACGAGTGAGAATATGCGGTGTTTGGTTTTTTGTCCTTGCAATAGTTTACTGAGAATGATGATTTCCAATTTCATCCATGTCCCTACAAAGGACATGAACTCATCATTTTTTATGGATGCATAGTATTCCATGGTGTATATGTGCCATATTTTCTTAATCCAGTCTATCATTGTTGGACATTTGGCTTGGTTCCAAGTCTTTGCTATTGTGAATAGTGCCACAATAAACATACGTGTGCATGTGTCTCTATAGCAGCATGATTTATAGTCCTTTGGGTATATACCCAGTAATGGGATGGCTGGGTCAAATGGTATTTCTAGTTCTAGATCCCTGAGGAATTGCCACACTGACTTCCACAATGGGTGAACTAGTTTACAGTCCCACCAACAGTGTAAAAGTGTTCCTATTTCTCCACATCCTCTCCAGCACCTGTTGTTTCCTGACTTTTTAATGATTGCCATTCTATCTGGTGTGAGATGGTATCTCACTGTGGTTTTGATTTGCATTTCTCTGATGGCCAGTGATTGTGAGCATTTTTTCATGTGTTTTTTGGCTGCATAAATGTCTTCTTTTGAGAAGTGTCTGTTCATGTCCTTCGCCCACTTTTTGATGGGGTTGTTTGTTTTTTTCTTGTTAATTTGTTTGAGTTCATTGTAGATTCTGGATATTAGCCCTTTGTCAGATGAGTAGGTTGCAAAAATTTTCTCCCATTTTGTAGGTTGCCTGTTCACTCTGATGGTAGTTTCTTTTGCTGTGCAGAAGCTCTTTAGTTTAATCAGATCCCATTTGTCAATTTTTGCTTTTGTTGCCATTGCTTTTCTTAAATAATAATTTATTACCATGGGAACTTCAGATCCCACAACCTTATATAAATCTGTACTAGATCATCTTCTTGTCTCCATCCAGAAGTATTAAACTGTGCAGCAAATTTACTGTATGTGCCCTGGCTAGTTTTGAGTTGAAATCACTTACAACCTTAACGAAAAGGATCTGCGCCAATACAAAATCAAAACGAAACCTACCTTTGCTTAGCACTCAGATATGGGAAGCTTTTTAAGTCATCACAAGAAGGTGGCTACCTACATGGTAGTTTCAGAGAAGAATGATGCTTCACACTGCCACAGAGACTGAGTCATCTGTTCCTTCTACCTTCCTTAATGTCTAAAAGATCAGTAACCCTAAAAGCTCTGTGGAATCCCCCTGTTCACTAATCACTCTTCTCTGACATCAAAAAGAAAACAGAACAGGAAACCAAGAGACAGAAGAAGGGAAACAGGGAAGAAAAAAAGAAGAAAAATGATTTTGTCAACTGGACTAATGGTTACACTACCCCATGTAACCTGAACATCTTCATGGCGCTTTACTAACCCTTATCAGGACGAAGCTACCCTGGAATAAGTGAAATAAACCAGTGTGACAGTTGTATATAAAAATAAATTTTGTTAGGTTTGCATCACATTATAAAGAAACAGAAAAACATAGTTAAAAATAAATCCATTCACCAACTCAGCAAACAAATTATAGAAACTTTTTTAAGATGCTGATAGACAATCACTTACTTGACTCCAGATCATAAAATGAGTAAAGCTTCTCTGATTCTGAAGGTGCTCCATCCATCTGTGAAGGAAAAGGGGAAAACGCCAATAACAATTTCAAGTGTTCCAATATATAAACAAATAAGTTTGAGTACCTTTGTATATTTAAATGAAAGTCCATCAAAAAGAACATTTTCTATATATTCTTTCTATTCATCACTCTCATTAGACTGAATTAATCAACAACTTTAAAATAAAAATCTAACTTGTATCTTCACTCAACAGTTTAATCTCCAAATGCAAAACTCTTGTACAAAAAGTTCCCATATTTTTATATTCATAAAACCCTCTATAAAATCGTGTACCGGCCAAAAGAGTCAGTAAACAATAGGAAAAGGTGGGGCATGGTAGCTCACACCTATAATCCCCGATACTTTGGGAGGCCGAGGCAGGCAGATTGCTTTAGCCCAGGAGTTCAAGGCCAGCCTGGGCAACATGGCGAAACCCTATGCCTAAAAAACATACAAAAATTAGCCAGGCATGGTGGCATGCACCTGTAGTCCCAGCTACTCAGCAGGCCGAGGAGGGAGAATCACTTGAGCCCAGCAGTTCAAGCTTGCAATGAGCTATGATTGTGCTACTATACTCCAGCCTGGGTAACAGAGCAAGTCCCTGTCTCAAAAAAGAAAAAAAGGAGAAGGACAAATCGGGAGCCTACAATAATTTGAGAAAGATATTCACACTAAAGATGGGTAAAAAAATCTAAAAGGCTTCACCACAGCAAGATTTCACAGAGTTTACTGTTTTGCCACTTATGAAAAAGGGCCGAAGAAATCACTTCAGTGAATTTTAGGAAATAAGATAAGTACTCTTCCAGTCAATACTAATTATGTATGTGTATCTTCCTTGAAGAGGAAAGTAGAAAATGACATGCTCGCCCTGTGCATTAGTTTACAATACCCAAGTTATAAAGGCAATGTAACAGAGATTACTACCATCTCATACCTCAGAGATAGAACCTCCTCCATCTTTATTCCCACAAGAAGATAGCAGGGCCTTCAAAGAGAGACTGTGTATTTCTTCACTGCTACAGATTCCATGATTAATAGGAAAAGAACAAATTTTTTTGTCTAAGACACTCCCTGGAATAATCTACCTTCTACATTAACATGGGGTTAATTTCAGCCTTAAATAGGAATAACACAGGCATACCTCATTTTATCACACTTCACTTTATAGTGCTTTGCAGACATTGCACTGAAGATTTACATCATCGAACAAGTCTGTCCATACCATTTTTCTAACAACACGTGTTCACTTTGTGTCTATGTGTGACATTTTGGAATTCTCACAATATTTCAAACTTTTGGTTATTATTATATCTGTTACTGTGGCCTGTGATCAGAGATCTTTAATGTTACTACTGTAATTGTTTTGGGGTACCACAAACCATCCCCATATAAGACCACAAACTTAATCAATAAATGTTGTGCGTGTTCTCACTGCTCCGCCGACCGGCTTATTCCCACTGCCTGGCTATTCCCCTATCTCTTCCCTCTCCTCAGGCCTCTGTATTCTCTGACACAACAATATTGAAATTAGGCCAATTAATAACTTTACAATGACCTATAAGTGAAAGGACGAGTCACACATCTCTCATTTTAAATCAAAAGCTAGAAAAATGAGTAAGCTTAGTGAGAAAGAAATATTGAAAGCTGATATAGACCATAAGTCAGGCCTCTTGCACCAAACAGCCAAGTTGTCAACACAAGGGAGAGTTCTGAAAGAAAATGAAAAGAGCTACTCCCATGAACACATGAGTGATAAGAAAGCACAACAGTCTTATTGCTAATCTAGAGAAAGTCTGAGTGGCCTGGATATAGAAGATCAAAACAGCCACAATATTCCCTTGAGCCAAAGCCTAATCCAGAGGAAAGCCCTAACTTGCTTCAATTCTGTGAAGGCTGAGAGAGGGGAGAAAATTGCAGAAGAGAAGCTGGAAGTTAACAGAGGTTGGTTCATAAGGTTTAAGGAAAGAAGCCATCTCCATAACATAAAAGCACGAGGTGGCCAGGTGCGGTGGCTTACGCCCACAATCTCAGCACTTTGGAAGGCCAAGGCGGGCAGATCACCTGAGGTCAGGAGCTCGAGACCAGCCTGGCCAACATGGTGAAACCCTGTCTCTACTAAAAGTACAAAAAATTTAGCTGGCCATGGTGGTGGGCGCCTGTAGTCCCAGCTACTGAGGAGGCTGAGGCAGGACAATCGCTTGAGCCTAAGAGGCGGAGGTTGCAGTGAGCCAAGCTCACGCCACTGCACCCCAGCCTGGGTGACAAAGCAAGACTCCATCTCAAAACATACATACATACATAAATCTAAAAAAGTGCAAGGTGAAGCAGCAAGTGCTGATATAGAAGCTACAGCAAATGATCCAGGAGACCTAACTAAAATAATTGAATTTGGCTACACTAAACAACAGATTTTTAATGTAGATGAAACAGCCTTATATTGGAAGAAGATGTCACTTAGGACTTTCATAGCTAGAGAGAATTCAATGCCTGGCTTCAAAGAACAAGTGGACTTTTTTTTAGGGACTAATGCAGCTGGTGACTTTAGGTTGAAGCCAGTGTTCATTTACCATTCCTAAAATGCCAGGGCCCTTACTATTTGTGGTAAATCGACTTTGCCTATGCTTTACCAGTGGGAGGTCAAAACAGCAACATGAACCGGAGTTCAGAAGATTCAGAAGAACTTGGTTCCAACCTTCATGGATAACACTGAGGGGTCAAGACTTCAGTAGAGGAAGTAAGTGTAGATGTGATAGCAAGAACGAAGGAGCTGGAATCAAGATGAAAACCTAGGAAATACCCTTCTACACATCAGTCTTGGCAAAGAATTTATGATGAGTCCTCAAAAGCAACTGCAACAAAAACAAAATTGACAAGTGGACCTAATTAAAATAAAGAGCATCTGCACAGCAAAAGAAACCTGCAATGGAGTAAATAGACAACTTACAGAATCGAAGAAAATATTCGCAAACTATGCAGCCAACAAAGGTCTAATATCCAGAATCTATAAGGAACTTAAGCAATTCACAAGTAAAAAACAAACAACCTCATTAAAAACTGGACAAAGGGCCACCACAGTGGCTCGCACCTATATAATCCCAGCACTTGGGGAGGCCTAGGTGGGAGAATTTCTTGAGCCCAGGAGTTTGAGACCAGACTGGGAAACATGATGAAACTTCGTCTTTCCAAAAAAAAAAGGAAAAAACACAAAAACTAGCGGGGCGTGGTGGCATGCACCTGTGGTCCCAGCTACTCGGGAAGCTGAGGTAGGAGGACTGCTTGAGCCCCAGAGGTTGAGGCTGCAGTGCGCCATGATCATGCTACTGCACTCCAGCCTGGGGCAACAGAGTGAGACCCTGTCTCAAAAAGTGAAAATAAAAAGTGCACAAAGGACAAGAACAGACACTTCTCAAAAGACAACATACAGGTGGCCAAAAAACATAGGAAAAATGCTCTACGTTACTAATCATCAGAGAAATGCAAATCAAAACCACAATGAGACACCATCTCATAACAGTCAGAGTGGCTATTATTAAATAAAAAAAAAACACATGCTGGTGAGGCTGCAGAGAAAAGGGAACACTTATCTACTGTTAGTGGGAATGTAATCTAGTTCAGCCACTGTGGAAAGCAG
The DNA here is from genome assembly GCF_000001405.40 of Homo sapiens. Taxonomy (NCBI): domain Eukaryota; kingdom Metazoa; phylum Chordata; class Mammalia; order Primates; family Hominidae; genus Homo; species Homo sapiens. Next base: position 246,334,158 of record NC_000001.11, read on the forward strand.
TTTGGAGATTTCTCAAAGAGTTACCATTCAACCCAGCAATCCCACTGTTGGGTATATATCCAAAGGAAAATAAATCACTCTACCAAAAAGATACATGTACTCATACACTCATCACAGTGCCATTCACAACAGCAAAGGCATGGAATCAATCTAGGTGCCCATTAACAGCACAATGGATAAAGAAAATGTGATACATAAACACTATGAAATACCATGCAACCATTAAAAAGAGTGAAATCATGTCTTTTGGAGCAACATGAATGCAGTTGGAGGGCATTATCCTAAGTGAATTAACATAAAAACAGAAAACCAAATACCACAGGTTTTTACTCACAACTGAGAGCTACATATTGGGTGGACATGGACACAAAGATGGGAATAGCAGACACTGGGGAATACGAGGGGGAGGTAAGAAGCAGGGAGTGGGCAAGAGATGAAAAGCTAGCTACTGGGTACCATGCTCACTACCTCGGTGATGGGATCCATCATACCCCAAACCTCAGCATCATGCAATATACCCATGTAACAAATCTGCACATGTACCCCCTGAATCTAAAATAAAAGCAAAACTTTTTTTAAAACAGAGAGAAGTAGAGCCTAAAGAATTATAAATTAACTGATTAAAAATTAACTGATTTTCTGCAATCTCATGATAAAACTTGAAAAGATGAGGAGTTGCTTCTTATGAATGAACAAAGAAGGTGGTTTCTTGAGATGGAACCTACTCCTGGTGAAGAAGCTGTGAGGCATCATATGTTACAGTGAAATCATTTGCGAAAGGAAGAGGCAATCAATGCGGCAAATTCGACTGTTGTCTTATTTTAAGAAATTGCCACAGCCACCCCAAAGTTCAGCAACCACCACTTGATTAGTCAGCAGCCATCAACATCCACCAGCGAAAAGATGATGATGCACTGAAGGGTCTAATGATCCTTAGCAGTTTTAGAAATATATTTTTTAATTAAAGTATGTACATTGTTCTGTTGGCATAATGCTACTGAACACTTAATAGACTACGGTATAATGTAAACATAACTTTTATATTTACTGGGAAGCCAAAAAATTTGTGAGACTCATTTTATTGCAATATTTGCTTTATTGTGGTAGTCTGAAACTGAACCTGCAACATCTCTGAGGTATACCGGAAAATGCAATTGCATATGTTTATTTAACCAAAACCCAGCTATATTTCATGAGTTTTATACTCACAAGTTTGAAGACAACTCTGCCAAGAAGTCGAACGGAGTCTGGAGGATATCTGGGTTTGCAGCTTTTAAGGCATTTGCATTCCCGCTTGTGGTCTGGCCAAGCTTTTTTCTATTAAAACAAGAGTGGGGAGAACATAGGTGACCTAAAATTTAACTTTCATTTATACTGGTTTTGAACATCAAGAGTCATAAACATTAAATTTTAATAGTCCAAATGTAACTGCACAATAGAAAATAAAAGCAATATTCTAAATCTGAAAATAATCCAGGA